>NC_000022.11:32194412-32345927 GCF_000001405.40 Homo sapiens
GCACACGAGGGCCTTTTATTGGTGAGATTCCCACCTCCCACTGGGTCACGCCCTTCCACACCCTCTAACCTGATGAGGCTTTGATTTAATTATAACAGGGAATTAGGTTTTTACTGGTGATATATCTCCAGTTAATTATAACTTCAGTAAATCCTTCATCCTGACAGTGTATTTTTCTTTCATATGAAGGTAAGATTAAATTGCCTTTATATTAAATTAGGCTTAATGTACTAACTTCAAAAGCTTATTTTAGAGATGTTTCCATCAGTTGTCAGTAAAGATAATTCCTGTAATATGTTGTAGGCTTCAAGCTTTGCTTGGAATCCTAAAGTATTAAGTGTGATTGGATTTGCAATTTTACAAAATGGTTTAAATTCATATACATCAGACTCAAAGGTAATAAGGGCAGGCATTCCATTGAGGAAATTCTAGGTACTTTTTATTTGTTTCCATTGGTTTATTTCCGGCTTTGAAAAAATTTCATAATTCATAGGAAAAAATTAGATAATTACTATTTTGACAAATGACCATTAAGCTTCTTGGACCTTGAGTACTTCACAGAGTGTTAAGATAAAAGTCACAATTTAAAAAAAAAGATGATTTTCTTGTGAAACCTGTGTTTTCAAATAAAAATTGTTACCCGTGAAGTGAGTTGTGCTTTCTTCCATTTGAATCAACCCCGAATCTTTTCGTCTTCATGCCTTTCTGTGTAGTGGGATCTTTACTGCTTTGTTTTCAAATTTCAAATAATTTGAATATAATCTTATCATTTTCCCTATCCCTTTGGCACATATTAAAGGAATTTTCTCTTTTTGCGTAATTAAAAATAAAGACCTAATTTTGGTCAGCTTTAAATATGATTCCTCATGGGATTAGAGGACTCTGAGACACTCAGGTCTTGTTTTGGTTTACTTTTTTTTCCTCTTTACTTTCAGTTGACATGTAATAATTGTACATATTTATGGCACACAGTAATATTTTGATACATGCATGTATAATAATCAAGTCAGGATAATTAGCACACTCTAAACATTTCTTTCTTTTCTTTTTTCTTTTTTTTTGAGACAGTGTCTTGCTCTGTCAGCCAGGCTGGAGTGCAGTGGCACAAACTTGGCCCACTGCAACATCCGGCTCCTGGGCTCAAGCAATTCTCCTGCCTCAGCCTCCTGAGTAGCTGGGATTACAGGCATGTGCCACCATGCCTGGCTAATTTTTTTTTTTTTTTAGTAGAGACGGGGTTTCACCATTTTGTCCAGGCTGGTCTTGAACTCCTGACTTCAGGTAACCCGCCCGCCTTGGCCTCCCAAAATGCTGGGATTACAGGTGTGAGCCACCGCGCCCGGCCAACATTTATTATTTCTTTGTGATGGGAGCCTTCAGAATCCTCTTAACTTTCTGAAAATATGCAATCATGTATAAGTGACCATATTTACCCCACAGTTGTGCTAGAGCCCATTTCTCCCATCTAGCTGTAATTTTATATTCAATTACCGACCTCTCCCCAAGCTCCCCTCCCTCTTACCCTTCCCAGCCTCCACCAAAGCCCATTTCTCCCATCTAGCTGTAATTCTGTATCCAATAACCAACCTCTCCCCAAGCTCCCCTGCCCCTTACCCTCCCAGCCTCTATACCCACAATTCTATGCTCTGCTTCTGTGAGCTCAGCATTTTTCTTTTACCTCCCATATAGGAGTGAGAACATGCGGTATTTATCTTTCTGGTCCTGATTTATTTTGCTTAACATAATGTCCTCCAGGCTGAGACTCAGGTCTTGACCCAGAGAAGTGATGAATCTGCAGGTATCGTGGAAATGGCCAGGTTAGTGATTAATTTGTACTTAATTCATAAAATAACAGCTTTGTTTTCAAATTTCAAATAACTTGAATATAATCTATTTCCCTCTCCTAAAGTGTATCACATATTAAATGAAGATTTTTTTCTTTGTATATATATTTTTAAAAGACCTACATTTAGTTCTATTAAAAAATGATTTACAGTGGGATGAGATCACTCCTCGGGATTCAGTGTCTGAGCAAGAAAACAAGGCTTGGGAGACAGTGTGTAGGGAGCCAGGTTAACTTTACGTGATTAGAATGAATTGGATCCGGTCATAAAGCAATCATTTGGGGTTTGCTCTTTGCTGGATTCTGGGTCACTCCACATCCACATGTAAAGACAGAGTCCAGTCCTGGTTTATCCTCTGTGTGAGAAAAACTTTCTGCCAAAACCAGGCTGGATACAATGTAAAGAGTGTGAGAATGACTTATGAAAAGAACCAAATTCACAAGATGATCCTTTCAGCTGCTCCAGGGAAGAAGGAACAGACAGCAAGATAGATTTGCAGAAGAGATGTGATGTCAATGAGACAGCAGCATAGTGCAGGGTGAGGCAGCCAGGGCACAGAGAGCCAGCAAAAGCCACTCGGACAGGTGTGGGAGGGACACGGAGCCACAGTCCGTAAAACCCAAAGGACAACTGTAACACTACTTTTTAGTATTTAAAAGGCAATTTCTTATTAATCTGCTTAATTGACATTCATGGTTTGAGATGTTCCATATTTTTCTGCTGTAACTTTGTTCCATTATCTTGTACCAAGCAGAAAAGTTTCTAGCATTGGGCATAAAGTAACTGTCTAAATAGTTTTGTGGCTAAAAGTTTATTTGCCCTGCTCAGGAGAAACTATAGGTTTGTCAATGCCCAGATTAATCACAGGACAGATACTCAGGAAGATTTGGTCATTGATAATTGAATCTGCAAAAGCAAAAAATGGGCACAGTGGCTCTGCAGCAGAAATCTTAGTGAATGTAAAGATATGAGTCCCATCATTAATGTTATAAAAGGAAATCATTCTCATACACATATCCAGGAAAATGCCTACCCTGCATAGCCCGGGACTGACCCAGAGGGTGGTTAAAGGCACAGTGCTGGCTGCAAAGAGCTTTTCTTTCCTCACACCCACAGTCCAGAAGCCAAGTTCTTTTTTTTTTCTTTTTTTTTACTTCATTTTTTTTTATTATTATACTTTAAATTCTGGGGTGCATGCGCACAACATGTAGGTTTGTTACATACGTATACATGTGCCATATGCTGCGCCCGTTAACTCGTCGTTTACATTAGGTATATCTCCTAATGCTATCCCTCCCCTGTCCCCCCATCCCACGACAGGCCCTGGTGTGTGATGTTCCCCACCCTGTGTCCAAGTGTTCTCATTGTTCAAATCCCACCTACGAGTGAGAACATGCAGTGTTTGGTTTTCTGTCCTTGCGTTGGTTTGCTCAGAATGATGGTTTCTAACTTCATCCATGTCCCTACAAAGGACATGAACTCATCCTTTTTTATGGCTGCATAGTATTCCATGGTGCATATGTACCACATTTTCTTAATCCAGTCTATCATTGATGGACTTTTGGGTTGGAAGTGGGATTTAGAGATCACACTCCGGCTGCTACTTACATAGTCCTTTTGAGTCAGACACTCCAAACACACCCAAAATGAACATGAGACCCTGAGAGGGTGATAGGGGCTTGCTTCCAACTTCTCCCTGGAGGTTGAGGCTGGACTTTCTTACTAGTACCTGGCAAGACCCATCCCAAACTAAGACAACACCAGGGAGGATGGAAGGGAGACCCCTGGAGTTGTGGTTGTGGTCAGATTGGACCTTCCCACGGCTGCTGACTCTGGGCCAAGCTGCCCCTTCTCTGGGGCATTGGGGACACCTGAGGATGCCTCCCTGCTCTTGCTTTGTGATCACACCAAGAGATCAGGGTTACAACAACCCTGTAGTGTAGAGAATCCCTGTCCCTTTCCATGCCCCTTCCCTCCTTAGGGAAGCAAATGCCTTCCAAGGAGCTCCTTCCCCCTATTCCTGGGCCACAGTCAAAGGGAAAACCTGATCCAGACACAAACTTCCTTGGCCTCTGCATTTCCAGATGTCCTGTCATTGCATGCATGGGGTCAGCTGTCCCATCTCAGCTTGAGAAGGGCAGGCAGGTATGTGTGGACTCTCTGCTGAGCAAATGCCCACCGGGGTCAGTGGTTTGGCTTTCCTGAATCACGGCTGCAAGTGGGGGCTGGGGAGGGGGGCGTAGGGGGTCCTAGGGAGTAGATTTTCTATGAGCCTGTGTCACAGTGTGGGGTATTTCATGGAGGACCCGGCTGACTGTCCTAGGTGAGTCTCTTCTTCCCTCTCCTTCCCTGCTCTCCCGAAGGTACTGAGAAATTTTCTATTTTTCTTCTTTTCTGTATCTCGTGTTGGCTTGTGGTAAAGCTTTCTCCAGGGAGAAAGACCCTGGAGGAGCCCGGGCCCTGGGCAAAGACCTCTCCCCTCCCTGTTCAGATCCCTGCCTCAGTGGGTCACCGTGACCCCTTCACCTCTGACCTCAGAGGTACGGCACTAGGCCGGGTGACCTACACAGGTGTTCATCTGTCTGTCCATCTGTCTGTCAGGGCCAGGTTGCTTCCCTAAAACTTGCTCTGTTCTGTCCTCCCCCGTCTGGGCTTTTGTCTGCCTAATGAGCTTTATGCAGGGGAAACTGAGGCCTCATCCCATGGAGAAGAGAGAATGAGAGGCTTGAGGGAGTGACCACCTGCAAGACTTTAGAAGGACCTGGAACCCTTAAAGCCGAGACTGGGGAAGAAAAATCAGAGTCTCAGGGCCTAGTCCTTTGGGCTGTGGGACTCCAGATCCAGTCTAGGAACAAGGTAGGAGGTGCAGGGCCCTCTCCAGGTTTCCGTGGGCTCCCAAGGAGAGAGCTCTGTGCTGGCCTGGGACTCAGGAAGCCCAGTCAGGAGAGAGGGGAAGGCTGTGGACATGAAGCAGCCGGGCAAAGGGTCACAGAAGGACATGCTGTTCGTGGAGGTGGATGCTGAGTCTCTGTGGGAGGCACCCCTAGAACCAAGAACTCCTGAATTCAAATCTGACAGGCAGATCCCAAGGCAGAAAAACTGTAGATAAGACCTAAACACAGAGGGTCTCTAACCGGACTCCACAGACAGAGAACCCTGGACAGACAGTGGGACTTGGGTGAGCAAAGGCCCTGACCCCACTGCAGAGGCTCAGGAGAGACTGATCTGGGAGCAAACAGAGCTATTAGGTGAGAGACTCACTCTCTCCCAACCCAGAGCAGCTGTGTCAGGTGAGAAAAGTTCCCAGACTGAATTCAACAGGAGGCTCACAGAGCTCAGAGAACACAGCCAGAGCCGGACTGCGTCAGGATGATGCGTGGCAGGCAGCGGCAGGCGGTTGAGGGTCTGTTGTCTGTACAAAAGCCCAGGGCCTAGAAAGGTTTTCTGAACAGGTGATGGGCAGGGGACAGGCTCAGAGGTTCCCTGAATGACAGAGATTTGTTTTAGGAACATTGTGTGACACCCTTCTGAGACACTGTGGACCATGTCTGAGGGGTCCTGCACTGGCACTGAGGGGGCCTGACCCCTCTTCATACACTGAGGTCAGGGGGCTCCCAGGTACACAACAGGATGCTGACCTCCTGCCGCTCGCCCACTCACAGGCCAGCCCAAGGCCACCCCCTCGGTCACTCTGTTCCCGTCCTCCTCTGAGGAGCTCCAAGCCAAAAGGCCACACTGCTGTGTCTCATGAGTGGCTTCTACCCGGGAGCTGTGACGGTGGCCTGGAAGGCAAACAGCACCCCTGTCACCCAGGGTATGGAAGTCACCAAGGCCTCCAAACAGAGCAACAAGTACACAGCCAGAAGCGACCTGAGCCTGACACCCCATCAATGGAGGTCCCGCAGCAGCTACAGCTGCCGGGTCACACACAAAGAGAGCGCTGTGGAGAAGACAGTGGCCCCTGAAGAATGTTCTTAGGCCCCTGACCCTCGCCCCACCCATGGGGGCCTGGAGCTGCAGGATCCCAGAACAGGGATCCCCTCCCACCCCAAATCATCCAGCCCTTCTCCCTGCACCCAGGAAACCCTTAATAAATATCCTCACTGTCAACCAGAAATCCTGCTCCCTCTCTTCATTTCTTAGCTAACATATAATTTGACACTCACCCTGGGTTCTCAGTGTGTGTAAGGGGGGATTCCTGGCACCCAGTGGGATAGTAGCCCAGGGGGAGAGGCTCCCAGACTCCCAGGGGTGTCTCCTGGGGAAACAGGCCAGGCCATGCATTTGGTCATTGAACACCTCTCTCTCCATTCTCTCTCCTCTCCTCTTCCTCCTTGCAGCTTGGCCCCCAATTGCTGCCTCCTTCCTGGATGAAGCTGTCCCTGGCTGAACCTTCAGATGCACCCTCTGTCCCTACCTTGGTCAAGACTGTCTACCCACCCACCACGGCCTCTGTTTCTTTAGTCTTGAAATCCTATTCTTGGCCTGGTGCTCCACTGCCCCTGACCCCTGGAATGCCCTCTTTTCTCTCTGCCCAGCTCCCCAGCCCTGAAAGCCGGGCTGTCCAGGACACTGCAGCACCATCAAATTCATGAGGTCTCACGTTTGGGGCCCGCCTCGATTCTTCACCTTACAGCAGGTTCAGAGGCGTAAAAAATTGGGAGGAAGTCAGGACGGAAACACACACAAAAGGCCGGCAGGTGGCTCAGGATGCTTGTGAAAGATAGTATCTGAGCTCCGCAGGAAACAGTGCAAGGAGGGTAATAGGTGTTCCCTTATTTCCTTTTTTTTTTTTTTTTTTGAGACAGTCTCACACTGTCGCCCAGGCTGGAGTGCAGTGGTGCAATCTCAGCTCACTGCAAGCTCTACCTTCCAGGTTCACGCCATTCTCCTGCCTCAGCCTCCTGAGTAGCTGGGACTACAGGCGCCCACCACCACACCTGGCTAATTTTTTTGTATTTTTAGTAGAGACGGGGTTTCACCATATTAGCCAGGATGGTCTTGATCTCCTGACCTCGTGATCTGCCTGCCTCGGCCTCCCAAAGTGCTGGGATTACAGGTGTGAGCCACTGTGCCTGACAAGTGTTCCCTTATTTCTATGAGAATATGCAAAGCATTTGGTCAAGGAGAGTTGGTTTTCTCAATGTTGAAGCCAGGCATGTTTTCACAACTAAAAGCGAGGACCCGTCTTAACCAAGGCCTCAATATTGATGGGATTTGGTCTCTGACACATGCACAGGTGACCTGTGTCTGTAAGTGCACCTACAGCTGCCTGGCAGCTCTAGGACATGGCGATTCTCTCAGGTACTTGGCACAGAAAGTCACTGGCCTTCTTTGGAGGACGCATCATTTATAGAAACACTTCTTTATTGGATCCTGGGTCTCGGGTGGAAAACCAGGTCCCACATCAGGACTTTCTCTGTGAGGCTCCCAGGTTCTGGGGCTCCAGCTGCTCTCTGAGAGGAAGGTGTGGAGACAGAGAACATAGCCCAGCCCCACCCAGCCCCTCTTGCATTGTCCCTGCTCTGTAGGGAGTTAGAAAACTGGGGGCATCAGCAGCAGCAGGCCTGTGTCACTGTGGGTGGGGCCAGGGAGGGGCCGAGGGGCATCCTGGGTGAGTCTCTCCCACGGCTCCTGTTTGACTTGCCCATGGCCACTGTCACAAATGACCCCTAATTTAGTGGCTTAAAATAACACACATTTATTCTCTCCCAGGTATGGAAGTCAGAAGTCCAAAATGAGGCCTGAGCTGCTAAGATCAGGGTGCCAGCAGGGCCGGGCTCCTTCCGGGGGCTCTGAGACAAATCCATTTCCAGAACTTTTCCAGCTTCTAGAGGACGCCCCCAGCTCCTGGCCCTTTCTTCTAACTACAAAGCCAGAGCTCAGCATCTTCAGATCTCTCTCCTGATCTTCTCTCCCCCCACTTTCTGTCTTCCTCTCCCTGGACTCCCCTCTCCTTCTCTCTCCCTCCATCCCCACATCTCCTCCTCTCACTGTGACCCTCCTCCTGCCTTCCTCTTTCCCTTATAAAGACTCCACCCTGGAGCAATGCGGAAAACCCAGAATTGTCTCTCACCTCAGGCTCCTTATCACCATCATGTCTGCAAAGTCCCAGTGGCCACACAATACAGCACATAGACAGATCCTGGATTGGGACACTGCAGTCTCTGGGAAGCCTAATTCAGCCACCTCCATCGGAGGCAAATCATGGTGCCACAGGCTCTAGCCTCCAGCCCGTGGCATGTAGCTCCTTCTCAGGGCACTGGGCATCCGGGCAGACAAAGCCAGAAAAGCCTAGAACAGGATGCAGAGTGGTAACATTAGAGCGCACCTTGTCATGCTGGCCACTGGGTGGCAGGGGCCGGTTTCAGCGAAGGTACTCACACCCACACTTCAAAGTCCAGCCTCTCCTTTTAGCGCAAGCTGGCCAGGAACTGCGGCCTGGAGTGGGGACTGCAGACACCACAGTGCCCGGGCTTCCCACTCCACAGGAACAGCTGCAGCCACCCTGGCTGCACTCCTCGGGAAGCAGGAGCAGCAGAAACTCAACCCCAGCCAGCCCTCCCCACCCAAGTGCCGGTTCCCGTTCCTGATGCCTCCTCCACCCACAGGGCCCTGTAGCCTCCTCGTGTCCACTACTGCGTGCCCCGGGGTCCCAGGCGGTCTCTGCAACACAGAGCAATAGGAGGCGGGTCCAGGAAGCACCACGGGGCTGGGGCCCCTGCCGCGCTCAGGAAATGCTGTGCGCCCGCCGCACTTGAGCAAGAACAGGAGGAGGTGGCCGGGAAGAGGAGGACCGCTCCTCTCTTGCAGACCACCGCTGTCACTGACACCTCCACCGCCCGCCACCGGCAGTGCAGTCCCAGATGGCGCCCCTAACTCATCCGTGCCTAGTACATGCAGCACCCAATGGCGCTGGCAGCCTGCCCCCTGCCACGGGCAGCGCAGCCCGGGATAACTCCCCAAACCCGCTCTGTGCTGTGGGCAGTGCAGCCACGGATACCACCCTCAACCAGCCCCTCGCCACAGGAAATGACTCCCGGGATAGCGCCCCAAATCAGCCCCCAGCCTCGGGCAGTGACGCCTGGAGTAGGTCACCCAACCCAACTCCTGCGCGGGCAGTGCAGCACCAGATAGCGCCCCTAAAACGCCTCCCGCCACCGGCGGTGTAGCCCAGGATAGCGCCGCCAACCCGGTACTCGCCGCGGCAGTGTAGCGATAGGGCACCCAATCTGCCACCCACCGCCGGCAGTGCAACCCCAGATAGCGCACCGAACTCACTCCCTGCTGGGCAGTGCAACCCCACATAGCATCCAACCCGCCTCCCCACCCAGCCACTGGCAGTCCGCCCCCGATAATGTCCCATACACGCTCCTGGCTGTGGGCAGTGCAGCCCATGGGTAGCGCCCCCAACCAGCCCCCAGCCATGGGGAGTGATGCCTCGGATAACACACCCAACAAGTTCCCCACCATGGCACTGATGTCCCAGGTAGCGCCCCCAATCCTTGCCCCTCAGCGACCAGTGCAGCCATGGATAGCGCCCTCAACAAGCCCCTCCACTGACCCCCGCCGCTGTGGGAAATGACGCCCGGGATAACGCACCCAACCCTCCCCCGCCATGAGCAATGCAACACGCACTACTGCTCCTTACACGCCCCCCACTACATGCGGTGTAGCCAACGATGGCGCCCCCATCTCCCCCTCGCCTCGGGCAGTGTAGCTCCCGATAGTGCATCCAACCCATTCCCTCTGCCCCTCTCCTCCCACCGAGTCAACCACCGCCGGCAGTCCAACCCCAAATAGCGCACCCAATCCACTCCCTGCCAGGCAGTGAAGCCCCCCGATAGCACCCAACCCGCACCCCCACCCCCGCCACTGGCAGTCCGCCCCGATAACGCCCCAACACGCTCCTGGCTGTAGGCAGTGTAGCCCATAGATAGAGCCCCCAACCAGCCCCCAGCCAAGGGCAGTGACGCCTCGGATATCACAGCCAACAAGTTCCCTGCCATGCGCACTGATGTCCCAGATAGCGCCCCCAACCCGTACCCCAGCGCGACCAGTGCAGCCACGGATAGCGCCCCCAGCAAGCCACCCCGCGGCTGCGGGAAATGACGTCCGGTAAAGCACCCAACCTTCCCGTGCTGTAGGCAGTGCAGCACCCAATACTGCCCCTAACACGCCTCCCACCACCGGGTTGTAGCCCACGATGGCGCCCTCAATCCGCCCCCGCTCCCACCTCGGGCAGTGCAGCTCCAGATCGTGCATCCAACCTGTCCCCCTCCCCGCCCCCTGCCGCAGGCAGTGAGCCCTGGATAGCTCATCCACCCCGCCACCTTTCTACATTCTGGCTGCGGTCTAGTCTCCCTCACCGCCACCAACGGCAGCGAGCCGAGCCATGCTGCTGCAGGCTTTCAAGCCTCCAGCGTGGGACAGGTGACTCCTCCTCTAACCTGGGCATGGAGCAGATGGGCTGGCAGACGCAGAAGTGCCTGGAATGGCAAGAACCCCTCCCCCCACAGACCGAGGTTATGCAAGTAAGGTTTCTGGACTACATGTTCAGATTGGATGAGAGAAAAACCTCTAGGTCTACTCTGATTGTGCTTTATTTTCACGTTCTGACTGGATGACAGCAAGTCTTAGGATAACCAATCAGAACAAGATAACAAAGCCCGATCAGAGTAGGCCTAGAGGTTTCTCTCATCCGATCAGACTATGTAGTCGAGAAACTTCATTTGCATTAAACTCAGTATATAAAGGATGCCAAGAGGGGTGGCTTGCCCTTCCAGGCTCATCTGCGTCGGCCTGCGTAGCTGCTCTGTGCCCGGCTTAGAGGAGAAGGAGGAGGAGCCACTTGCCGCGCATGCCAGAGGCTAGAGTCATCTACCGCGCATGCTGGAGGCTGGAGCCTACAGTGGCTCACCTCGCTGCTGCGGTTGGTGGCCGCGAGGGTGACTACAGCGCAGCCAGAATGGTGAAAAGGTGGCAGAATAGGTTCGTTATCCCAGGCCGTACTGCCTGTGGCGTGGGGGGCGGGTTGGGGGCCCTATCCAGGGCGTCACTGCCCGTGTTGGGGGGCTGCTTGAGTGTGGTACCTCGGGCGTCACTGCCCGCTGAGGGGAGTGGGGTGGGGGCGCTATCCGGGGGCGCTATCCAGCCTATGGCTGGAGATGGGTTGGGGCGCTATCCGAAGCTGTAATTCCTGCGGCAGTGGGGAGTTTTGGGGGCACTATCTGGGGATGCACTGCCCGCGGCCGGGGGGCGGGGGTGAGTTAGTAGAACTATCAGGTGCTGCAATGCCCTGATGCCCTTGTTGGGGACAGGTTGTGGGGGGCTGGTGGGTGCAACACTGCTGGTGGCGAGGGTGGGTGCTGCTATCCGGTGCTACTCTGCCTGTGGGGGACGGGGGCGGGCGTGATATCCAGGGCATCATTGCCTGCATCTGGGAGCTGGTTGGGGACACTATCCATGGCTGCACTGCCCACAGTGGGGAGCGGGTTGGGGGCACTATTTGGGGCTGCAATGCTGGTGGTGGGGGACGGGTTAGGGTCACTATAGGGTGCTACACTGCTGGCAGTGGGGAGGGGGTTGTTGAGGGCGCTCTCTGGGGGCTACACTGAGACAGGTAGCGGGGGGTTGTTGGGATTGGTACCGGGGCTGGACTGCCCATGGAGAGGGGGTGGGGGCGTTGGTTGGGGGCGCTATTGAGGGCCGGGTACACTGCCTGCGGTGGAGGGGTGGGTTGGGTGCTATCAGGGGTCTGTACTGCCTAGCAGGGAGCGGGTGGGTGTGCTATCTGGGGCTGCACTGGCTGCAGCAGGGGCAGGTTGGGTGCACTATAGGGGGCTACACTGCCCTTGGCAGGGGGTGGTTTAGGTGAGCTGTCTGTGGCCGCACTGCCCGAGGTGGGGAGTAAGTTTGGGTGCTATCTGTGGCTGCACTGCCTGGAGGCAGGAAGTGGGTTGAGGGTGCTATCCTGGGCTGCTTCTCCTGGTGGGGAGCAGGTAGGGGCACTATCCAGGGTTGCACTGCCCGGGGTAGGGGGCGATTTGGGTGCCATATCGGGGCATCACTGCCCACGGCAGGGGTCTGGTTGGGGTCGCTACCCATGGCTACACTGTCTACAGCCACTGCCTACGGCAGGGAGCGGGTTGGGGGCGCTATCCCGGGCTGCGCTGCCCAAGGCAGGGGGTGGGTTGCGGGTGCCATTGGTGCTGCAGTGTCCGAGGCAGGGGCGGGTTGGGGTTGCCATCTGGTGCTACACTGCCAGCTGTGGGGGAGGGTCGGGGGCGCTATCGGGGGCTGCACCGTCCCCCTGGTGGTGGGCAGCGGAGGTGTCAGTGACAGCGGTGGTCAGAGGAGGTGAGAGGGACTCCAGTCTCTAGAGGGCCATCTCCTTCTGCTCCTGGCCAGCACACAGCATTTCTGCGGGGATCCTGAGCACGGCCCGGCCCCTAGACCTGCTGTGGTTCCCAGGCGCGCGCCCTCTCACCATGTGTTGCTGAGACCGTCTGGGACCCCTGGGCACACAGTAGCGGACATCATGGAGTGACAGGGCCCTGTGGGTGGAGGTGTCAGGAAGAGGTACCGGCACTTGGGTGGGGAGGGCTGGCTGGGGTTGAGTTTCTGCTGCTTCTGCTTCCTGAGGAGCGCAGCCAGGGGTGGGCCCAGCGATTCGTGCCGAGTGGGAAGCCCGGACGCTGTACTGTGGTGTCTCCAGTCCCCACCCCAGGCCCCAGTTCCTGGTGAACTTGGGCCAAAAAGGGAGGCTGGGCTTTGGAGGGTAGGTGTGAGTGCCTTTGCTAAAACTGGCCCCTGCCACCTAGTGGCCAGCATGACAAGGTGAGACTCTAATGCTACCACTCTCTGCATCCTGTTCTAGGCTTATCTGACTTTGCCTGCCCAGTTGCTCCGTGCCAGGAGGAGGAGCCACTTATTCCATGCTGGAGGCTGGAGCTGGGGGCACCGCAGCTCACCTTGCTGTGGTTGGTGGTGGCGATGGAGACTACAGAGCACCAGAGCGGTAGGAGAGCAGCAATGGAGACTGCAGAGTGCCAGAGCAGTAGGAGGGCGGCTGGCTGCTGCCTGGGCAAGGGCAGGCCTGCTGTGGTATCCAGGTGGTAGGAGCCTTGTAGGGTGGACCAGTGGACTGAGGGCAACAGGAACAGTGGTTGTATTGGCATCAGTGCTAGTGGTGGCAGCAGCAGCAAGTCTGGAGGTTGGGAAGGCGGGTAGGAGCGCTCCAGGGCTGACCCGCCCGGCTGGGCCTGGCCTGGGGTGGGTAGGAAGCTGTGGGCCTCTGGGGCAGCGGTGGAGGCGCAGCCTGGGGAAGGAGGAGTCTCCTCCGCTTCTCCTGCAGAATCTGGAGGGCGCCCTCCTCCTGGTAGGTCCTGAGCCAGGCGTGAGTGGCAGCATTGTGTCATTATTAACAAAGTTTGGGTAGTGACTATTTGTGTATCTTTTTGCTTGTTTTTTGTTGGGATAGTCTTGGGCTTTTTTAAATTTCATGAATCAGGGAGGGGACAAAAGCTGTAATAGGACTCCTGATTCCCTTGTCTGTTCTTTTTCTTTTCTTCTCCTTATCATCATTTTCTTGTTCCTCTTCATTTTCTTATGCTGCTGCTTCTATTTCTTGTAGCATGTGGAGGAGGGAGTGGGAGATAGAGACCAGGCCCTCTCTAGAAACAGTCACATCCTGGAGGAACGGTGATGTATTTTCTGATGAGGATTTTCATTCATGAGATGTGTGCAGAGTGACCCTGGCTAGGTGCCCAAAAGCCTCCTTGTCTATGGTGTGACTCCAGGCCCAGGAGGCAACCCCGTTTTTGTAGAAGAGCCTGTCCTGGAAGCATCTGTCCTGAGAGCACCTGATGGCACAGTAGGGAGCTGAGAGCAACTGAGTCAGGAGGGACAATGGCCAGCCCCTCCCAGGATTCCTGCCTTGGGCAGATGCTGGCCCACTGACTTACAGCCCAGGGGCTGACAGGGGTGTCTTGTCCAAGCCACTGTGGGCAGGTGTTGCCTAGGCAGTGTGGTGTTGGATGACACCGAAGCTGCTGCACAGCCTGGGGTATTCATCTCTGGCAGACTGAGGGCCAGGTACTGCACATCCTGAGGTGTTCATCCCTGCCAGACCGAAGGCCACGCCCAGGCAGCTCCCCATCCCCTGCCACAACAAGGCCTCATTTTTCCCACAAACCAACTCCATGCACCCATCCTCCAGGCCCCTGAGTATGCCAAGCACCAGGCCCGGTGAGCCCTGGTCTCTCTGTGCTGCAGCCACGCACCTGCCTAGGGACCTCCTCCTCACCTTCCTGCCCCTCATGCCAGTTATACCCCACATGCTGTGAGGCTGAAGTCAAGCAGGGAAGCAGCAGAGAAGGCATGGAGAGCGACAAGCCCCACAGCAGGGTGTGAAGGAAGGCCTCTCCAGGTCAGTGTCCTTGTCTAGCCCCCAGGCATGTGCTGCAGGCATTTGGGCCCTTTACTTCTTCTTCCAAGGGAACCACAAACAGCCCTGGGGTCCAGGGGGTTATTGGCCAGATCTCCAGAGAGTGACTCCAGGGTCCTGGTCTCCAAGGGAGAAGAGGGTTTGGGGAGAGGCCTTTGGTCAGGCATGTGGCGCATGCTATTCCTGAGCAGGTCGGGCAGCTGGTGCTTGCCTGGCTAATGCAGTTTCTGCTGGGCCTCTCTTCCTGGAGGAGAGTGTGGCCTCTTTCCCAGCTGTCTTTTAGCCAAGATGCACAGAAAGCAGACCAGAGATGCAGGTCACAGCCAAAGCAAGTGGCAAGTGGTGCTGCTTCCCAAGGGACATTGCCGTGGCTGTTCTGTGGCTCTGAGATGCTTGGGGTGCCCACCTGGAGCTGTGAGCTGGCCTGGCAGGCCTGGGAGGGCCCTATGGGCTCTTTTGAAAGTTCACTTTTGTTGAATTTTACATAGAATCTTCCCATGTCCACTCCCCAGTACTCTTTTCTGCTGTCCCCAGACAGTGCCAGCAGAGGCCACGTGCTGTCTAAATATGTCCGCAGGCACTCAGTGCAGGGTCCTGGCCTGAGGGGGCATGAGGCCAGCATCCCTCACTTTAGGACCGGGAAGTCAGTTCTCAGGCTTCCAAAACAGCTGAGACAGCTGCCACTTCCTGTCACTTAAGCCTGGTCTCTGTACCTCACTTTCCTTCTGGGACCTCAGTGCCTTCTTCCTACAAGATACTGGTGTTCACGTCACTAGCTCTGGGACTCGGGAGGAGACTGAGGCACACAGATGATCAGTTGTAATCACATGGACTCAGGGTGAGGTCCAAAGTTAACCAGCACGTGGCTGAGATCTCAACCATAAAGTTTCTAATTCTAAAGTCAGGCTCTGGGGTGGAGTGAGTGTGTGCTTGGTACGTGGCTGAGTCTGTGATGGTCAGCCTGTGTGAGGGGAGGATCCGGTCAAATGAGCAAAGGCACCATCCCAGGCACAGAATGTGCATCCTGTGGTTGTTGGGGGGAGTCTGTCAGAGTCTTATTCTGGACTAGAGTCAGGACTGGGTCCCATAAGGTCAGGGCAGGGTGAGTGTGACCTTGGGGCTACAGGCAAGGCCAGGCATCCAAGGGGTCTCAACTGCCCCAAACAACCCCATCCTGCCAGGCCCCACTCCCCCTGTCCCTCCCTCCCATTGTTCAGTCCCCTCACCCCCTCACCATGGGCACCTGCAGTCTCATTCAGAGACACCCTCATCTTAGAGTCCCTGATAGTGGGGAGTTTGGCCCCTCAGAGGCCTTGGTTGCTTTGGTCAATCCATAATGCCTGGGCCTGGGACCCCCACCATTTCTTGTTCATCAGGGACACAGCAGCTGTGAAGGCAGCTGCCTTCACCAGAGCAGCGATGTAGCCCAGCAAGGGCAGGGACAGAGACGCAAGGTCTGGGGGATTTTTCCACAATGCTGCAGAAAGAAAGTCCCTGTGGAGCTCAGTCTCAGCCATCCCTGCCCCAGCTGTGAGCTGAACTGAATTTCAGGCATCTCAGAGTCCCTTCACCTTTGCATGACCCATTTCCAGGACATGACAGGTCAAGCCCATGGGAGAGGGGATCACCCAGGTCTCCCTCATCTCCATGGACCTCCTGGGAACATTGCCAGGGTCCACTCCACCCCTGGACGCTGTCCCCAAGCTTCACCCTCTTTTTATAAGTTGTACATTTTTATTATGAAGATCTTTGAACACAAAAATAGGGAGATGAAAGAATAATAATGTCCCCAAGGTTCCCATCACCGAGTCCCCATAATTTTTGATTTTCAAATAATGTTGACTCACCCACAACAGAGTAAACGATTCCCTCAGACAATAGTCTGAAGCAGATGCGAAAGCCATCACAAACTTAAATGGAGAGAATCAATGATTTCTTGACACGAAAAAACAGTTAACGAGGGTCTCACCAAATGTCTTGTGAATTTCATTGTGTATATTTTTAGTTGACTTCGTGGTGCATTACGTATTTGTGGATTTAACTTTAGTTTCTATGTGGAGTAAATACTTGATGTTATCAGTGGTGAATGTGTTTTTAGACCCATTCTATCTACAGCTGTCTCCCAAATGGCTGTCAGGCTTTTCCTGGCAAGGCAGGAGTGGCAGGAGCAGAGAGCTGGTCCTGAGACCCTCCCACAGTCAGGATGCAGCCACTGCCTCCCTGAGCAGGAACCCAGTGCTTCCTTTAGCTTCTCTTTTCCTGAAAAATTGTTCTAGCATCAAGAGGCTCAGTGGGGTTCAGGCTGGACATTGGCATAACTGCTTCCTAGGACATGTGGTTACTTCTAGCAAAGCCACCCATGTTCATCATTCTTTTAGTGACATTAGCTGTGTTTGATGATCGATAACTTTGTGCTTCAGATAAAAAGGAAGACAGAGGGTTGAGGCTTCCATTCACCTCCTCGTGAGAGCTGCAGTGTGTCGCTGAAGGGAGGGCCCAGCAGCTGTGCTATGAACCTAGGAGTGTGCTTCCTGCTTTGGAAAAAAGGAAGAAAAGTAGTTTCTTCCCTTTTATTCACCACTTTGATAATGGACGATCTGGTGCTCGGCCATACTCGAGGGTGAACAGAACAACATAGAGCCAGAGTGAGCTCCAGCATGTGAGGACATCTGACATGTGGGATCCACTGCGGTTATATTGAATTGGTGATCATGATGTGGCTACAAAACATAAACATTTGCCCACTGAGCACCTCCTCAGGGGGCACCTCATTTTCTTTCATTGCTCCGGAAGCTTCAGTGGCTCCTGATTTCGCAGAGGATGAGAGGTCCTGTCTTGTCATGTCCCTTTCCTGCCCCAGGCCTGGGATCCCCCACTGATCCCACTTCCCTTAGGAGGAGGAGGTATTTAAGGACCACACCCTGGAGACTCTCTCATGTCCCCCATTTGAATAAGGAAATGGTAGCCATCACCCCACCTGACCTACCCAATGTAAAACCAGATTGAGGGGTCCAGGGATCAAGGATGGAGCTTCCATTTTGTTGAGGGGGACCAGCCGGGCCTCACTGGCCAGGGCCATCCCAACTGGGTCAAGACCTGGGAAGATGGGGCTGAAACTCCTGGAGTCAGGGCTAGGTTAATGGGAAGGTTCCCAGGACACTGCACTCTAGGGTAACCAGCTTCTCCCTGGAGGGAGAGGGTACTGTCTGCATCACCCCATGGTATCACCAAGCAATCAGTGTTGAGTCAACTCCCCCAGGGAGACCAGGTATCCCTGTCCATGAAAATTCCTCCTAGTGGCATAAATGCCCTCTGATAAACTCATCCCCATGACTACATGATGGTTGGTGGGAAAACCAAACCCAAGACGCCGATGTCCTCCAGGGATCCTGCTGCTGGTCACAGGATGTCACTTGTCCCCTTATCTGTGGGGGTGAGGGTGAGGGGTGTGTGGACTCAATGAGCAGATGCCACCAGGGGGAGTGGCCAGAGCTTCCTTCCTCACAGCTGCAGTGGGGGCTGGGGGTAGGGGCATCCCAGGGAGGGGTTTTTGTATGAGCCTGTGTCACAATGTGGCGCTGGGTCTGCTGGCGGGCCTCCTGATGGTTCTTGCCTGTGCCCATGGCAGCAGGTGGGACAGAACAATCCTCAGGCTCCCAGGTGCTTGCCTGGAAGTGCAGCGGCGGCGAGTGGGGCAAGTCTTCCCTCAAGCCCTGGGACAGTATCTGGGTGGGCTGGTTCCCAGACACAATGAAGGTACGTGCAATTTTGTGTCAGCCCTGCTGCTGGGGGTGGGATGTGGGGTTGCTGTCAGTGGCAGCAGCCACAGGCAGATGGCTCTCAGGCTCATGCACTTGGGTTTCCTTTGTCATGGAGCTGGCCTCCTTGGTGCACTGCATTGCCCATTCCCTGGGGTGTAGGACTCTTGTGTGGGCTAGAGTGCTGGAGACGCGGTCAAACCGCTGGTCTAGCCGGCATCATGCTGCTGTAGCCCTCTAAGTGGATAAGGGGAGATGTCAGGGGGGCTCTAGGGATGTGGAGATGCAGGGCTGTTGGGCCCCAGGGCAAGAGGCAATCCTCATGGGGTCTGGGCTCTCAAAATGGCACGTGCTGGAGCTTCTTGGATCTAAAGTGTGTGTGTGGTACCCAGCACGACTCCCTCTGGAACAATGCCATTGCGTGGACAAGTACAGGCAGCATCCTATGCTGTCTCAGGGCCCACAAGAGCTGAGGGGCTCTCCCATGGCCAGGGTTGCAGGAATCTGTGGTGGGAATGTGGACCCCTGGGAATCTCTCACTTACCTTTTCCCCTGCACTGGGGAGCTCATCTGGTCTTGCTTTTCTCTCCTTCCATATCTCGGATGGTTCTGTCACTTCCCCGCTGAATTCCAGCATTCTCTGTTAGATGCTCTATTTGACATGTGATTATCTGTTTTGCTCCTTCTTTGTGGAGGAGACGAATGTTGGGCACCTCTAGTCAGTCACCTTGAAGCTCTTCTCCAAGTGTCATTTTTTTTTTTGAGTTTTAAAGTTGGCCTGTTGGTCTTTTTATTCCGGATACAACTCCTTTGTCAGACGTGTGCGTACTCTAAGTATTTTCAGTTATTTTGTGGGTTGTTTGGTCATTTCCTTTAAGGTGACTTTTGTTGGCTAGAAGTTTTCAATTTTGATGTAGTTCAATATATTGCTTTTTTCTCCTATGATTGGTAATTTTTGTGTCCTCTGTATGAAGACATTGTCTATTCCAAGGAGGTTATATTATATATATACACACACACACACACACACACACACACTATATATATATATACACACACTATATATACACACTATATATACACACACTATATATATACACACTATATATGTATGTGTGTATATATATACATATATGTATACATATATATCTATATATGTATACATATATGTATACATATATATCTATACATATATGTATATATCTATATATGTATACATATATATCTATACATATATGTATATATCTATATATGTATACATATATATCTATACATATATATGGATATATATCTATATATGTATACATATATATCTATACATATATATGGATATATATATCTATATATGTATACATATATATCTATATATATAGCAGGGAAGCCCAAGTCTGTTTCTTCCTATCCAAATGCAGTTCAACAGTTAGGCTTACTTGTCTCTTTCTCATTTATTTATGGGAGCTCTTTTTTTCCTGTTTTGTAATATCTTTTGGACTCCACATTTTCAATTTCATTTGCACTGCCTTTTGATATACAAAATGTGTTTATTATTTTTAGGTTTCCTGTTTTAAGAATGTTCCTCACCTTAAACCACTTGATAGAAAAATAGGAAAAGGTTATAAATAGGCAACTAATTGAAGTTAAAATAACTGATTAGTTAGCACTCCTGTGAGATTTTTCACCAAGGGAATTAGCAAGATATATATATTTTTTGAAAAAGCAACAACTTTTGTTGCTACTGAGCCTGCAGGGGAAACGGTCCTCCTGCTTGTTCCCTGTTGATGGGAATGTGAATTGCTTCAACTTTTTGGAAAGTAACTAATCAGTATCTATTAAAAGTGTAAGTAAACATAGCTATGGCTAAGTTATACCACTACAAAGATTCTGTCCTGTAGAAATGAAACCATCCAGTGTAAAAGATGATTGCTACAACACTATTTGTGGTGGCAAAGAGTACTTAACTTGAATGTCCATCTGAAGGGGAATTGTTGGCTGGATGCAGTGGCTCATGCCTGTAATCCCAGCGCTTTGGGAGGCTGAGGTGAGTAACTTGAAGTCAGGAGTTCAAGACCAGCCTGGGCAACATGGCAAGATCCCATCTCTGAAAAAAATAGGGTGTGGTGGCATGTGCCTGTAGTCCCAGATACTTGGAAGGCAGAGGCAGGAGGATTTCTTTGGCCCAGAAGTTGTTCTTTTAATTTCTGGCCTTACTGAATCACTGGGCCCAGGAATTGCAGGCTGCAGCAAACCATGATAGTGCCACTGCATTTCAGCTTGGGTGACAGAGCAAGAACTTGTCTTAAAAAAAAAAAAGAAAGAAAGAAAGAAAAGAAAAAGCGGGAATTGCTAAGGAAATAAAATACATTCAATATTATAAATTAGGCAGAAATTAAAATAAATACATTTGATCTACATTAGTTAGGCTTAGTAATGTCCACAATGCAGTATAAAGAGAAAAAAGTAAATTGCAATATAATGTAGGATTTCAGTATGTCATTTCAAACAAAACAGACAACAAAACCCTGAAAAGACAATTGAAAGTAAGTCACAAAACCCAGAAGTCATAAGAGAAAAAGAAACAATTTGACTAAATATAAATTAAAGCTTCTGTACAATAAAAGACAACATAAAGTTACAAGGCAAGACATAGACTTTAAGACAAAATACTTGCTATTCATATGCAAATAATAAATATATAGAATATGTAAAGAATATCTGTAAATGAATTAGAGAATTGGTAAAGGATATCAAGTAATTCACAGAAAAAATATGAATAGCTAATAAATACATGCAAATATATACAATCTCACTAGTAAGTGGAGAAATACCAATTTAAAAAATGAAACTATTTTTCAATCATCAAATTGACAAAAATTCACTATGATTGGTAATATACCCTGTAGTCAAGCATGTGAGTAAATAAAAACTCTCATATACTGATGAGAATATAAATTGGCAAATCCTTTTTGAAACATAATTTTTAATCAAAATATTAATGCTTGTACACTTTGCTCCAGTATTCCATTTCTAGGAAAATAAAGAAAATAAAACTAGCAAATATGTCAAAAGATGAATATACAGGTATGTCTATTTGAGTATTGTAGATAATAGCAAATAATTGAAACCAACATGAATGCTCCTTAGTAGAAAAGTGGCCAAATTATAGTGAACTATCCTATGGAACAATAGTGCAGCTATAAGAAGAATGAGGGAGATCTATTTGTACAGATAGGCAAAGATCTCCAAGATATATTTTATGTGTAAAAGCCAGTCACAAAATAACACATAAAGGAAGATTGCATTTTGTAAATGTATGTGTATGTTTACATATGTATATAAATTAATAGAAAAATTACTTACTAGAACATATGCTTTAACTTGTCAACACTTCTTTGGGAAGTTAGTGACAGTAGATGAGAGGATTAGGTTGTCAGTGAAGAGTATTATATTTAATTCTACAGACCCAAGGGCATTGTTTGAATTTTTATAACAATATGATGGATATGTTTCTTTAATTTTTATTATTTTTACCCAGGAAGAGACAGTCTCCAGCATGTGCTGAAAGTGCTCTCTCTTCCATGTTTCTTTTTTGAGATGGAGTCTCACTCTGTCACCCAGGCTGGAGTGCAGTGCTGCGGTCTCGGCTCACTGCAACCTCCGCCTCCCAGGTTCAAACGATTCTCCTGCCTCAGCCTCCTGAGTAGCTGCGACTACAGGCGTGTGCCACCACGCCCAGCTAATTTTTTGTATTTTTAGTAGAGACAGAATTTCACTATGTTGGCCGGGCTGCTCTCGAACTCCTGACCTCGTCATCTGCCCGCCTCATCCTCCCAAAGTGCTGGGATTACAGGTGTGAGCCACCGCGCCCGGCCCTCTTCCATGTTTCTTACGTAATTTATTAAAACATATTTTAGTTTGTTGACTTGCTTACAAAAAGGTGTGTCTTAAACCTCTCTACAATTCTACATAGAGATAATTGTCATTCACTGTGTTAAAACAGAAATAAAGACAGAGAAATACGTATATTCAAGGATGCCAATAAATGTTAATATCTAAAATTGGATTGTGATAATTGTTGCAAAACTCTGTGAATATATTAAAATACACTGAATTATATGCTTTAAATAGATACATTTTATAGTATGTGAATTATATTTTAATGAAGCAGTTAAAAATCAATGGTTTGATGTTTTAGTATTCAGTGACAAATGGCTTTAAGATGTAAGCAATAATTTCCAGTATATTTAAAAGATATTTACAATGGATATTTCTAGTTCACCCCCCTGTCAACTATTAGAAAACATTTTTATATTTTAAATCCTTGAAATAACTGAGTGAAGGTCGCTTCACAGGAGAAGTCACTGTGGTGTAGATGAGAAGGTTACTAGGTGAGGCAGAGTTGGAAGAGGCATTCTTTTCAAATGGAAATCTCTGGAAACTTCAGAAAGCAAGTATGAGGTAGGGAAATTTGCCTGGTGTATTAGTCTGTTCTCACACTGCTAATAAAGACATACCCAAGACTGGGTGATTTATAAAGGAAAGAGGTTTAATGGACCCGCAGTTCAGCATGGCTGAGGAGGCCTCAGGAAACTTACAAGCATGGTGGAAGGGGAAGTAAACACGTCCTTCTTCACAAGGCGGCGAGAGAAAGAAGTGCAAAGCGAAGTAGGGGGAAGCCCCTTATAAAACCATCAGAAACCATCAGATCTCATGAGAACTCACGATCACAACAGCAGCAGCACGGGGATAACCGCCCTCACAATTCAATTACCTCCCACCAGGTCCTTCCCACAACGCGTGGAGATTATGGGAACTACAATCCATGATGAGAGTTGGGTGGGGATACAGCCAAACCATATCACCTGGTCATTTTCTTTTTAAGGCTTCACATATAAGTGAGATCCTATAGCATTTGTCTTTCTGTGTCTGGCTTATTTCACTTAGCATAATGTTCTGCAGGTTCATCCACATTGTTGCAAGTGGCAGGATTTCCTTCATTTTTAGTTCTGAATCGTATTCCATTATGTATATATACAACATTCTCATCATTCATCCATCACAGCACACTTAAATTGTTTCTGTATCTTAGCTCTTGTGAACAGTGCTGCAATGAAAAGTTGAACTCATAGAAGCAGAGAGTAGATGATGGTTGCCTGGGGCGAAGGGGTAGGTAACTGGGGAGGTATTAGTCAGAGTACAAACATTCATAAGATGAATATATTCTGAGGGTGCAAAGGATAGCATGGTGACTGTAGCTAATGATACTGTATTGTGTGCTTGCAATTTACTAAGAGTCTATCAGTTGTTCTCACCACACACACAGAAAAGGTAAACATGTGAGGTGACAGATGTGTTAGTTAACTTGATTGTGGTTACTGTTTCAGAATGTATACATATATCAAATCATCACGTTGTACATCCTAAATATAAACCATTTTCATTTGTTTACTATACCTCAATAAAGCTGGAAAAATAGAATTTAGACCTGTGTGTCTTGTTTGCACACGTAGAGGTCACTTCACAGTTTTATAAATTATCAACTCTTAGTGACACAAAGGAGCAACAAAAGCAAAATATCAAGTCTGTAGTCATCTCATTAGATAAAATTACCAACTGCTCATTTTTTTTTTTTTTTTTTGCCACACAACATACTATAACATGAAAATGGCCGGGCACAGTGGCTCACGCTTGTAATCCCAGCACTTTGGGAGGCCGAGGCAGGTGGATCACGAGGTCAGGAGATCGAGACAATCCTGCCTAACACAGTGAAACCTCGTCTCTATTAAAAATACAAAAAATTAGCCGGGCGTGGTGGCGGGCGCCTGTAGTCCCAGCTACTCGGGAGGCTGAGGCAGGAGAATGGCGTGAACCCGGGAGGCGGAGCTTGCAGTGAGCCGAGATAGCGCCACGGCACTCCAGCCTGGGAGAAAGAGCAAGACTCCCTCTCAAAAAAAAAAAAAAAAAAAAAAAAAAAAAAAAAAAATTAAAATCACTAAAATTATCCTTTGGTTCATTATTAAGAATTATTCATTATTCTAATGGCTCAGATAGAGTTCAGGCATAGTAGCCGTGAATAAAGACCACCACAGCCAGGAGGAGGATGGCGTTGATGTTCACTATTGTCCTCCACGAGGGCCTCTCAGACGTGTCTGTGAGCTTCTTGCTCAAGGCTTCCTCCTCCTCCTTGGTTAGCTTGGGTCCCTTCTGCAAACCGCAGAACAAGTCATAAGCTTTCTTGAGGCATCCACGTGATTTCTCAGGATAATCTGGAACAAAGATAAGCAAATGATTGCAGAAGATCTAGATCACAAAGGAACTAGAAATCCTTGTCAGTGTAGTACCTATGACTGTAAAAAATGATTACAATCAGCTGGGAGTGTTAAGAGGAATCCCTGAGAAAATGTAGATAAATTTAATCATATAAAAACAGGCGACTTTTGCATGGCACGAAGTTCAATAAACAAAGTAAAAACAAATGACAAAATGGGGGAAACGTTCGCATATTCTATTACAAAGGGTTTAATATCTTTAATATATAATGGGTTTCTAAAAATAGGTAAGAAAAGGCTATCAACAGCCCCATGTCAGCATATTAGAGAGATGAATAAACAGTTGAAAGAAAAAAGACACATGGTTCTCAAGCTCACTCAAAAAAGAGAAATGTAAACTAAACCTATACCACTTTCTCATCTATTAGTGGGAAAAATACAGAAGTTTCACAACATACTGTGTTAGTGAGTTTGCGTGGAAACAGGCACTCTTCTATATTGTTGCTAGGGAAGCAAGTCCCCTATGGAGGGGAATTAGTAGCGTATTGCAAAATCATATAGGCATGAACCCTTTGACCCAACAACGGAACTCCACAAAATCTATCCCCAGCTTACACTGGCAAAAATACAGAAAGACTCATGTATATGGCTATCTGTTGCAGCACTGGAAAATTTAATACTTCTAAACTCAAATGTTTATAAAAATCACAATTAACGTAAGATTATATTTAAAAAGAAATGATAATGAAAATTATACAAATTAAAAGCTGTGAGATTTAAAACAGTATTACTTTGAGGGAAATGTATATGGTCTTATTTATGTAGAAAAGAGAAAGAAAAATCAAAAGAAAAGTAAAATTTCCAGATTTACCGGAAATGAATGAGTTAATATCCAACTTAGCAAAAAAAAAAAAAAAAAAAAAAGAATAAACCTAAATAATGTAAATGGAAGAGAATACAAATAAAAACAGAAAGGATGAAATAGAAAAGAAGGAAAATAATAGAAATGACAAAGCCAGAAGTTAGTTCTTTGAGAAAAGCAAACTAGACAAATCTTTAGTAAGATTAAGAAAAACGATAAATCACAAAATATACTAGAGATTGAAAGGATAACACAACTATAGAGGCAGCATAGATGGATAAGTAGACACTATGAATAACTTTATGCCAATATATTTAAAATGTGCACTAAATGGGCACAATCCTAGAAATGTATAATTTTCCAAAAACAATTAATGAAAAAATGGAAACTCTAAATAGTTCTATAGCCATTATATAAATTTGATCAGTAATTAAGATGTGCAACACACACACACACACACACACACACACAGCCCTTATGGTATTATTGGCAAAATACCAAAATTCAATGGCAACATTATTTCAATCTTATTGAAATATTTTCATAAAATGGAAAAATGGGCTAATTTCTGATTCATGCTATGATAACTCTATGATCTGAATACCAAAACCAAAGACTTAGTACAAAACCAGAAAATGATAGGCCAGTCATACTCAGGAATGCTGATATAAAAAATCAAAAGGAACAGAAAGCACTGACTCTTCACTTTGAAGAAACCAAACCAAAACAGACAATTATTGTCCAGTTTAAGACAACATATTGTGAAGTGCTAAACCTTATCTGAGGTTTAAAAAACATTAGGTAAACAAAGAGCCAGGGGGATGACTGATGGAGAAATTTTCATGAAGGAAGTGAGATTAGAACTTAGTTTTAAAGAATAAGCATTTTTTTTCCCCTTGGACAGGAGGTAGAAATATTCTAGGGAGCTTGGCGCATGTGGAAAAGTGAGAAAACCTGTCTGCCTGGAATAGAGGGTATGTTAGAGAAAATACTGAGAAGTAAAGTTGGAGAGAAGGTGGGGCTAGATGCTTATTTGCAGACAATCAAGATTGAACACTTACTATGTAACTAGGAACAGG
Source organism: Homo sapiens (assembly GCF_000001405.40). Classification (NCBI taxonomy): domain Eukaryota; kingdom Metazoa; phylum Chordata; class Mammalia; order Primates; family Hominidae; genus Homo; species Homo sapiens. Next base: position 32,220,670 of record NC_000022.11, read on the forward strand.
CGAGTCTGTAACTGTCATCTCAGTAACTATGGATGGATGATGGGTGGACAAACCAACCAATGGACAGGCAGATGAATAGATGGATTTAATATGTTGTCTTGGTTTTTGGAAAGGTAAAAATTTAAAGTTTCAGTTTGTCATAAATCTAACAGCCTTTTCGGAAGCTGGATTTAATGACATTAAAAGAAAACCATAAACAAGCCTGTGCACAGAGTTCCTACATGAAAACCAAATGTAAACCAAATATTACCTTCTTCAACACCATCATCTGTTTCTTCCTGACTTTTCTCTTCTGCATCTATATCGATTCGCTCCTCTGTACTGTTCCGAAGAACCCAGCACAGGCGGTACAGCTGAACAGGGACCATACAAAAGTGCATTAGTAATAGGCAAATGTTTGCAATAGTATAATAGAATGGTACCTTTGTTTATCGTCTGGTGTTTTTAAAAAATCAAACCATACAGGAGAATATAGATCACAAAGAAAAGGCCTCCTACCACACTCACTCATCAAAACACACTAATCATTTTAAATTTTTTTCTGTTTTTAATTCTTTCTGGTTGCTATTTAGAACTTCAAATGATATACTTAAAAATACCTACTTCTGGATTTGTAATTTCAGCAAAGTTGAAGATTTAGCTAACCTACACTATACCCCAGCTTCACTCATTGTCCTTAACATCCAACAGTTATTAGCCACATCATGATTTCCTTCAGTTTATCTAGTGGTTGCTTTTATAACTTTCAAACTATCTTCTTAAATTCTATTTCTGGATCCATCACATTTGGCTGGTATCTATGTACTATTGAATTCCAGTTGCAATTAGTACCCTTACACACTCCTTTTCCTAAACCATCTCCAAACTTCTGTCAGCTATACCATTATTTTAAACTATTATGCTTTATATAATTATTATTTTCTGTAAATATATTAAGATTTCCATGGTTAGTCTGTATGTTGATTTAAGCATTTGAAAATAAATAGAATTGATGCTGTATGTACTGATTGGACACAAGTAAATATCAGCCCTGGGTCATTCTAAGGAAATTGCTCCAAGTATCAATGTTTTTTTTTTGTTTGTTTGTTTTGTTTTCAATAAGAAGGAGTTTCCATCTTGTTGCCCAGCTGGAGTGCAATGGTGCGATCTTGGCTCACTGCAACCTCCGCCTCCTGGGCTCAAGCAATTCTCCTGCCTCAGCCTCACGAGTAGCTGGGGTTACTAAAGGTGACTGCCACCATGCCCGGCTAATCTTTGTATTTTGAGTAGAGACAGGGTTTCACTATGTTTTTGGCCAGGCTGGTTTTAAACTCCTGACCTCAGATGATCCACCCACCTTGGCCTCCCAAAGTGCTGGGATGACAGGCGTGAGCCACTGCGCCCAGCCTATCAATGGTTTTTAAACCTTTATAATCTATCATATTCTAAGTTATACCTCATTTTAATTTGGCTCATGACTTTCTTGTACAAATTTACTAGAATTTGTAATTGGTTTTATTTGTTCTTGATGTAACATATGCCTTTACCTTCTCACTAAGATTCCTAATCATGTCTTCATAAGCTCTTATTCACAGGATTTCTTGTATTAGATCCACTTTCTTTGTTAAAAACTCTCTTCTTGGGAGTCCTTCAATTTCTGTTTAATTACACATAGAGTAATTTCTAGTTTTGCTGAAAGACTATCATCCTGGGACATCTCATTTCTGCACTGGTAGGCTAGATTCACAACAGTTTTCATGACTTTCTCTGAAATAACCATGATATTTATCAGTCTATTTTGAAAGTTAAACCTTGCAGCATATTAATGAGACATTAACATAAATCAGAAAAATGGTCTCACTGGTCCTTCAGACAATATTTTTTTCCTAAAAATTAGTAATAAAATTGGTTACTTCTACTGGCAAATAAGAATTTAACATATATATATTTAAAAACTATGATATGTTTTCTAGTGTTCTTTCATCTAACTCAATATTCAGCGTAAATATTTAGTTAGGAATTTCAGTGACATGTCCTTCGTAAAACATTTTGAGCTGTGCTGTATTTCAGGTTTCCCATCCACACATAATCTACTGGCCACTTCTCAGGAAAATATATAAAGAAGCATTGCTTCAAAAATTGTGAGTGATAAATTCAAAATACATAAAAGCTACACATGTTTAGTCATAAATTCAAACAATTCAAACAGTATTAGTATATAAGCAGTATTTATATTTTAAAAATAATTAGTTAATATTTGCTGGGCCCCTAGAGTGTCTCCCCACTCCCTGAGATGCCTCTTGTTGAAAATCTTAGGTGGATATGCTCTAAGATTTTTTTTTGTATGCTTAGACAAACATCTATATGCCTACATGTGTTTTATTTCAGAAAGCGCTATTATACATTATTATATTATTCTGCACATATTTTTCCACTTAACCATATTATGAACATTTTTTTCCAAAGTGAATAATAGAGCTCCCTCATGTTTCTAAACAGCTGCATAATGTTCAGTGCCCTGTGTTTGTGTGCTCATTCCTTTCATGATGAAATCTGGATTTTCTCCCAGCTATTTCCTATTTGAAAACTTTTGCAGAGAAAATCCTTATACACATATTTTTCCTACTTGAACAAGTATTTATACACAGTAAGCTCCTAAAACTGGGATTGTTGTTTCATAAGTATTCATAAGTATTTATCCATAAATACTACCCAATTGCTTTACTATAAATTACAAAATCTACGCACTCTCCAACAGTTTTGGACTGTGGGAATTTTCCCACAACACTAATATCAACCACTAACATTAAATATTATTCATATTAAACATTTTTGCCAAATTGAAAGGCAAAAATGCATCTCATTATTCTATTCTTTCTTTTCCTGCCCCCTGGTACCATGTACTTTCCCCCCATCTCTGTGCCAGTCAGTGTTCATGCTGTATATGAAATCCTATTGACCCAAACAGGCACAGCCCAGATGACAGCTCTGCTGTGAAGTCTTTCCCAGTGTCTTTGGAAACACCAATTATTCTCTTCCTGGTGTCCTATGACAATGCTGTAGATTGACTTCCCAACTACTCTGTGAAGTTTACAAAATATAATGTCCATTTTCTAATCCCTTACTTTTTAATTCACTGGTGCTTTGCACATACTAGGTGCAAATTGTTCTTTATTTCAGTGACTGAATGATAATCTCTTAGGGTTCTTCTAGCTCTAGAGGTACAATGAATACATTTCCTGGAACTCATACATGCATACAATAAAAGGCAAGGAACTCTTTTTTTTTTTGAGACAGTGTCTCGCTCTGTCACCCAGGTTGGAGTGCAGTGGCCCGATCTTGGCTCACTGCAAGCTCCGCCTCCCAGGTTCACGCCATTCTCCTGCCTCAGCCTCCCGAGCAGCTGGGATTACAGGTGCCCACCACCACACCCAGCTAATTTTTTGTATTTTTAGTAGAGACAAGGTTTCACCGTGTTAACCAGGATGGTCTCCATCTCCTGACCTCGTGATCCGCCCGCCTTGGCCTCCCAAAGTGCTGGGATTACAGGCGTGAGCCACTGCGCCCGGCCAAGAACTCTTATTTAAAATTAGCATGTATTCATTACTCATCACTCACATGTACATCAGGAATGGGTTTTGTTAAGAGGGAAATTCCCAGGGTGACCAGCATGGACCCAAAAAAGAGAACGATGGAAAAGTACAGATAGTGCACTCCACAGATAATCTTGGGACAGTTACTGGGAGCCAAGCAACTCCCTGTTCCATAAGCAAACTCTGTTATCATACGAATGAGGCCCATTGCAAGTCCAACCATTAGACCCCAGAATGCTCCCTGCAAAAGAAGCAAGAAGAAAATCAGAATGTTTAGAAAATATGAGAAGCTTATTCAAGTAAGTCATCATTATAATCCTGCCTGCTTTCTCAGTTAAGGACCAACAAATGGCTAACCTTGGGCACAAGGTTACCGACATAGAGAAAATTGCAAATACATGTGCTTCTTAGTTGGATGCTGCTTTCCATGATCCTGAACTGTACATACCACTGCACCATCGTTGATTCTCCAATACCAGGACACTACTGTCTACACTGACCCAAGCTGAAGTTTTCCTTGACTTTTGTTTCATAGTTAGATCAAAACACTTGTGATTTATTTGATAAAATAAGCAGAAGTATCAATTATGTTACACAATTTCCAGAGCTGATATTAGGTAGTTTTGAGAGTTCTATGAAGCTCTTGATAATTTATTTCTGTGAGGAGTTGATGGGGGTGGAAACATGTGTCTGTTCCTCTGCTCAAGATGTTATGTTTTAGAAAAACTGTATTGCATGGAGATTAATGGTATGAGCTTTGGATGGAAGAAGATCTAAGCCTGAATACCAAGATCCCACTTACTAATATTAAGTAACATGTGGAAAGCACATAGATACTAACCCCTCTGCACCTGTTCCTCATCTGAAAATCATAATAGTAAGGCTAGTACTAAGGAATGATTGAAAGATTAAGGGTACATGATCCACAATAATCAATTAATTACATATATCACAATAGTAATGAACACAATTTGAATTCTTAGCAGTGTGGTAGGTTTTCTTCTAAGAATTTCACATATTTTATCTCACTTAATACTCACCACAATCCCATAGAATAGGTGCTATCATTATCTTCATTTTACAGAGACTCAAGCAATTTGCTTAGGATCACAATACGATTAGGTGGTATAGCCATGATTGGGCCCTGGCAGTCTGCCTCCCAAACATGTTCCTCAACTCTGCACCATGTATGTACGTAATATTTTGTAAGAAACATATAAAGACTGTACTATGAATGTGCGCTATATTTTTATACTTTAGCAAGGATCAGGAATTGTGGCTGACCTCAACTAAAATTAAGATGGGCCATGATTTGCATAAATAGGGGAGAAAGAATGTATTTTGATACCCCAGTGAAATAAACGATTTTTTTCTCACTCCAGCAGGGAAACTTTTTTTCCAGTTTTCACTCACCTGTTCATTGACTCTTTTACAGAAGATGGCAAGCACAAAGACAGCTGCAATTGGAGGCCCAAGGTAGCTAGAAATTGATTCTGTGTAATGGATTAGTTGTCCATTTTGAGAAACTTGTACCAGTGGGACCCACACAATGCTCACAACAGTTAATAGAAGAACAAATATCCTGAGAAGAAAACAACATAATTTAAACATTAAACAAAAGCACTATAGTTACTTCCATTGTGCTTTAGTTCTAGCGTTCATTCTTGTTGTCACTCATTGATTTTCCAAACAAAATCAAGCTCCTTGATCATACATAAACCCATGCTGTGCTTAATGGTGATCTTTTAGTAAAGTGCCAATAAAGCAATTGCTTGTCTATAATTAATCATAATAGCTTCATCTATGAGATTAAATATCTATTCATAAAAATAGTTAAAATATCAGTGATTAATAACTCCAATACACTACATGTAGTATATCAATTGGAAATAAATACCACACTACTTCTATTAACCAGCAATTATTTGTATGATAAAGAAAGCAGACTTCCATTTTTTGTTCTTTTGCTAGCTTGCAGGGAACAAAGTTGGTTTGCATAGGTTAGAATGGAAACAGCCTCTATCTCAGAATGCTGGGTAAATCAGCAAGAAATGCTAACTTGTGCATTTTACTACTTGAGTACTTCAGCAGGTAAAAAGCGTGTTAAAGGCTCCTGTTGTCCAGGGAGCATGACTTCTTAACCTTTCTAAACTGCAGCATTGTCTGTGCTTGTTCTGTGAGTAAATGAACCGACGCAATTTACTGCAGTGTGCGTAAAAGGCCATTCATCTCTCTCTGCTCACATGAAACAGAGAAGCAGTTGTGGGGTGGAGGAAGGAACAAGCATTTGGGCAGGAGACTGAAGCACAAATGTCTCATTTAAATGTTACAAAATCACTGCATCCTTGCAACAACTAAATGTGATAAACTATGGGAAGTCTTAGCATAATGCCTAAACCACAGTAAGGATTCAATAAATTACACTTACTGTTGGTATTTTTTTTTAATTACCATTGGAAGACAAATCATGTGCTTTCCCAACTCATTCAGTTCCAGTTTCCTATCACATGTAGAATAAAATCCCGTCTTGTTATGACTTCAATGGCCCTGGATGACCTCGCCTCCAGGCACCTTTCTGACCTTGCTCTTCACTCTCCCACTGGCTTCTCATGGATGAACCTCACTCCTGCTTGTTCTCAAACATATCACATATGTGACTGTGGGAGGAAAGCAACCCTCGTTTTTCCTTCCCCCAGAGCACCATGGGGCTCACTCCCACACTTCCTGCATTGCAGGCTCTGCTCAGATGCCACCTCCTCAGAGAGGACTCCCTGAGCACCTGGATGAGGTTACTTCCATCCTTTCTTCCTGCTTTGTCTTTCTAGCACCTCTGGTCACCTGAGGTAGCATACCTTTATTAATTGTCTATCTTCCTGACAAAGGCATATATTCCACAAGGCAAGAATTTTAAAAACGTACATGTTTTTTTCCTATTTGTGTTTTGTGAGATAGTAGACATTTGATAACAGAGAGAGGGGAAAAGAAAAAGTTATTACTTTATCATTGAGACTTAAGGAGGATGTGTGTCCAAGATCATATACCTATCAGTGGGACGACTGCATCTTGGGTCTCCTGAACACCAACCAGTACCTTCTCTACTAAAGGTACACTCCTGCCCTACTGTACTCCCTCTCCTACAGCATTTGTCCAGAGTCAAGCTCTGGGCCAAGTGAGGCCTTTGGGTTTTGCCCCAAGTGTTTTAATTTACTAAAGCTATTGTTACTGTCACCAACAAAGTACAGTCTTTTAAATAGTTGGTCAGTTTCTCTTGATACCAATTTCTTTGAAAAGAGTAGACAAATTCTGATATCTTACTACAGTGGAACATCACAGAGAAAGAAATTACACTACAGCTACACATAGCAACACGGTTGAATGTTGCAAACATAACATGAGCAAAAGAAGCCATATTTCGGCAGGTGGGGATGGCTCACACCTGTAATCCCAAGACTTTGGGAGGCTGAGGTGGGCGGATCACGAGGTCAAGAGATCAAGACCATCTGGCCAACATGGTGAAACCCCGTCTCTACTAAAAATACAAAAATTAGCTGGGCATGGTCGTGCACGCCTCTAGTCCCAGCTACTCGGGAGGCTGAGGCAGGAGAATCGCTTGAACTCGGGAGGCTGAGGCAGGAGAATCGCTTGAACTCGGGAGGCAGAGGTTGCAGTGAGCCAAGATCGAGCCACTGCACTCCAGCCTGGGCGACAGCAAGACTCTGTCTTGAAAAAAAAATTGTATTTCAAGGGATACAAATTCAATTATTCTACTTATGATAGCCTGAAGTTGGAAAAGACTAAGCTATAGCATCACAAGTCACAGTGGTTAGCTTTGGAACGAGGTGGCCCAAGACGAACGAACTTCTGGGTGCTGGTAATTTCCATGTCTTGACTTGATCGATGGTTACATGGGTCCTCACTTGGTGACACATCTCTGAGCTGTGCATCCATGTTTTAACTGTTTTCTTTATGTGTGCTGTACTTTGATTTTTAAAACATTTTACAAAATGCTATGACAGGCCAGGCCGGCGGTGGCTCACACCTGTAGTCCCAGCACTTTGGGAGGCCGAGGAGAATGGATCACCCAAGGTCAGGAGTTTGAGACCAGCCCGGCCAACGATGTGAATCCCTATCTCTACTAAAAATACAAAAAATTATCTGGGCATGGTGGCGGGCACCTGTAATCCCAGTTACTCAGGAGGCTGAGGCAGGAGAATCGCTTGAACCCGGGAGGCGGCGGTTCCAGTGAACTGGGAGCATGCCATTGCACTCCAGCCTGGGCAAAAAGAGTGAAACTCTGTCTCAAAAAAAAAAAATGCTATGACAATATAGGGTCTTCTCGAAAATTGTGAAGGTGAAAAAGGACATTCTGGTATCGATTTTTTTCCTCTTGTTTCCCTCCATCTCACTTCCACTATCTTCAAGGCCCCCAGGCTGCTCAGGGTCCCCTGGGTTGACTTAACTCTCCAAGCATCCTCTTGGAATTAGTCCCTTCCCTGCTCCTTTGTAACACAGCCCAATCATTAATGAATATGACTGATAAACTCCTCTGTGTTCATGTGTGGAAGACTTAATCCATTACCTCCATGTGATATACATGGAAACTGCTAGAGACAATGCATTCACCTATCAGAGTAGGTGGAAATTTTACACCCTATTAAAATACTGGTGGAGTTTTATGAAGATGTGGATAGGGGGGTGATGTGAGGAGGGGAAGAAATAAGAGCCATTCAGAAGCATTTGAAAGACTGAAAAAGTGATTATTTCATTTAAAGGTATGGTTCAAATTTTTGTATCTGGAAAGTGATCACTTGAATTTGATGTACTCCAATGTCTCTTCCCTCTACCCAGATGCTATGATTACTTTCACCAAAGCCAAAGACAAGGGAACTCTAGTTCACTTCTACGTCTGTACTTCTCCAGAGGATTCTAGGTGGGAACCAGGGTTCACTCACCGTCCAGCTATCAGGAGCTCTTTCTCCGACGCTTGCTTCCGCATCTTGGTGTAGAGGTCAATGGTGAAGAGGGTGCTGGCGCTGTTGAAGATGGAGGTCAGGGAGCTCATGAGAGAGGCCAGCATGACCGAAAGCATCAGGCCTCGCAGTCCTGGAGCCGGGAAAGGGTACAAGCACTGGTTAGTGGCTGGACACTGCCTTGCTAAACCAGAGAGGGTTGAAAGGTTAAAAGTATCATCTGGAACATAGGTTAACTGATGTCCTTATCAATACACATCAGCATGTGGAGTTTCCTGCATATTTTCCTGGTCACCTGAGAATAATCCAGTATAAATAAGTCAGGCACAGAAAGACAAAACATCACATGTTCTCACTTACTTGTGCCATCTAAAAATCAAAAACAATTGAACTCATGGCTATAGAGAGCAGAAGGATGGTTACCAGAGGCTGGGAAGAGTAATGGGGGACTAGGGGTGGCAGCGGGGATGGTTAATGGGTACAAAAAAGAGAAAGAATGAATAAGACCTACTGTTTGATAGCACAGCAGGGTAACCATAATCAGTAATAACTTAATTGTACATTTTAAAATGACTTAAAGAGTGTAATTGAATTGTTTGTAACTCAAAAAATAAATGCTTGAGGGGACAGATTAAAGCAAAAAGAATTTTAGTCCTAAACATGAACTTAGAGATCATCTACTGGAACCTAGTTTTAGAAGAGAGGAAACAACATCACACCATCTTTCTTTGGGTAGGGACTGTTGGCTTCCTGAAGACTTAAGAGAACTGGAGAGGAAGAAGTCCAGTAGGCGGTTCTGCTAAATAAGTCTTTGGAGGGGCAAAGCCAAGAGTTTTGAGCCATGATGGGAACTTCATCCTCCAGTTCCCTCTGCCCATTAGTAACGGCCCTAAGCCTCCTAGGACAGAGTGTGTGTGGATGGGAAGCATGTGGTGTCATGGTTGTGGGCCATGACATGGTTGTGGGCCAAAAGTTGAAAGATCATAAGGAAGGAAAGAGGGTCCCTTCCTCCCTCCTGTGTGTCAGGGTGGAGGAAGGTGGAAGAAATGTAGCCAACCCTTGATGGAGTAGGAGATCACCTGGTCAAGTCCTGAGCTCTGTACCCTACTCCATTTCTGTTCACCACAGCAATGATCACCTTCTGGCATCCTAATAATTTATGTATTTCCTATGTGGTTTATTTTCTATCTCATACTACTAGATTTTGAGTTCCAAGAGGTAGGGGACTTTATGCCTATTTCACTGATGTTTTGTTAGCACCAAAGCAGTGCCTGGCACTTAGTAGGCACTCAATAAATAGTTGCAGATTAAATAGATTGAGATCTATTATTTGGTTATCACTAGCCCCAAAAATGCCCCCCAAAAAGCATAATAAATAGTTTATTCTATTTGGTTTATTTGGTTATCACTAGCCCCCAAAAAGCAGAAAAAATAGTTTACCTCTAGGTCTTGTGTTTACAAGTTTATGACTATGCAACTCTTTTATTGACAAATGGATCATTTAATTTGTTCTTGGCTGCCTCAGAAAACAGTCTTGAATCTGAAGGAGTAAGAATTCTTCTAACAGTAATTGTACCTGGTTCATCTCTGAAATTTTCAGGCCTAGCACAGAGCTGGTAACCTGTAGAAGGTGCTCAAGAAATGTCTGATGAGTTGGATTGAATTAATGGAAGGTGCAAGAATTGCACCATAACCCTTCCTCGAGGCCCGTCTTAGACAGGCCTCTGGGGCTGTCCCAGCAGGGACATTTTCCTACCTTGGGGCATCAGTTCCAGCACCATCGTGGGGTATGCGTAGTTGGTGCAGCCAACATCAACGCCACAGTGTTTCACGCATTCAGAAGGTACCACACATGCTACCATATCTGGGGAAGAATTCAGAAGTGAGTCCAATGAGGCCCAAATAGGCAAAACCAACAACCATTAAACAAAGAGAAAAGTTGAAAGATCATAAGGAAGGAAAGACATTTGCCTGGAAACTGGAGATTCAATTTTGAACTCCATATCATAGATCTGGCCCCTCTATGCCCAAAACACAACCCCAAGTATCTTATCCCCATAGCCCCTTGCACTGACCCATGGGATAGGGGCTCCCTTGGGACGTGGCCTAGCAAGGGCATTTGAGCAAAGAGAGGGAGTGGACCCCATCCTCTGGGAAAACAGCAAAAGAAGAAATTCTTCCAGGAACACAGAGCTCCGGAGACTGACAACAGCAACAGGAAGTTAGGTCCTGTGTGCAGTCACATTTAGCCTAGTATCTTTCACCTGCATCTAAGAAGAGGTGTCGCTTGTGATGGTCAGTTGGGTGACTGTCCCATGTGTGATGATGCCTCACCTCTGTGGCAGCTGCACAATACCTTGTTGGTTTTTTGTTTTTGCTTAAACAACATTATGACAACAGACAGGGAGAATTGATAAAGAATCACGCAGAAAAATAACACTTCAGCACATTAGCTTCTTTTCATTCCTTCCTAATCCTTTTCTATAGAGAAATGTCTTTTTTGTAAAACTATGATAGTTGTTGAGACATTATGTTGCAAGTTTCTTTTTACATTTAATATCATAACCTCAGTATTTTCCCAAGTTTTGAGATAGTCTTCAGTCTCCTGTTTTCATTTTTCCATAAAGGAGGTGCACAATAATTTCTTTGGCCATTCCCCACTAGTTAGATACCTACACTTTTTTTTTTTAAGAGACGGGGTCTCTGTCACCCAAGCTGTAGTGCAATGGTGCAATCATAGTTCACTGTAGCCTTGAACTCCTGGGTTCAAGCAGTCCTCCCACCTCAGCCTCCCAAGCAGCTGGGACTACAGAACACATCACCATGCCTAGCTACTTTATCTTATTGTTTTAGAGATGGGATCTTGCTGTATTGCTCAGGCTGGTCTCAAAGTCCTGGGCCTCAAGCGATTCTCCTGCCTCAGCCTCCCAAGTGGGTGAGGTTACAGGCGTGAGCATTCTTTACCCTTATAAACATTACAAAGCTGCAGTAAGAAGTGATGTTGGTCCCTTGATGTTCACTTAACAAGATTTCAGTGAAATCAACTGATGCCCAGTTGAGAAAACATGAAGTGGATTCAGTGTTGTCTGAGGGATTACCCCAATAAAAATGAGTCCTCAATTAGCCAAGAAAGATTTGGTTATATTTCCTTCACTTTTCGTAATAAAGAAAGGAAGTTGAATTTTTTTAAGGAAGATTTTTAACACTAGCAGTTACTCTTAGCTGACTCAGAAATTTACATATCCTCAAACAACCTGATTCCAAAGCACTGAAAATTGATTCAGTTCTCCAGTTTTCTCAGAGGGACCAAGACCTTCTCAGTCAGAGATGTCACCAAACTCAGACAGTACGGCTCACTCAACTCAAATTAACCCAATTCTACCTCATCCTGCAGTGTCCTTTTGCCATATTCTCTGGACTTCCTTAAATCTAAGCAACTCATGAAGACGGAACTCACAGACTCAAATGTCTACGAGATAGGCAGATGGTATGAAGAGGATAAAGGAACAGAGCGTCCAATATGCCAAATTTTCCTGCCTTTGACCACTGTGCAGGCTGCTCCCTCCACCTGGAAGTCTGCTTTTACTTCCTTCCAGAATGGATTTTCTCAAGGTTTTATGACATTTTAAAAACACTTATCAGAATACAAGCATAAAAAAAGAGAGAACATACGGATTCAGGGCTTACCTGTGTACAGGATGCGGCTGATCATCCCCGGCATCACCATGAGGAACATGGGCAGCAGCTTCAGGTAAGCACACATAATGCAAGCGGCCTTCACGTGAGACATGTCCTTGCCACACAGGCAGCGCTGCACAATGACCTGCCGGGAGAACGTGACACACTCATGAAACAAGCCAGGGGATGATTTCAAAGGCAGTCAGCGTCCCTTTCCAGAGTTTAATGTTGCAATAAGAAATAATGTGGACCAGTATACCAAAGAGCTATCTGCACTCCTGTGTTCATTGCAGCACTATTCACAATAGCCAACATGTGGAATCAGCCTGAGTGTCCATCAGCGGATGAATGGATAAAGAAAATATGCATAATACACAATGCAAAACCATTCAGCCATACACAACAACGAAGCCCTGTCATTTGCAGCAACATGGATGGAACCGGAGGTCATTAAGTTAAGTGAAATAAGCCAGGCACAGAAAGACAAATGTCACACATTCTCACTCATTCTCACTTCCTGAGGCCTAGCTTAGGAAGATACTGAAGGCTTTGATTTGCCCTGAAGGACGGAATAAACTAAGAAAGAAGACAATAGGCAATACTGGAAAAAGGAGAAATAACCGGAGTAGGGCAAAAATGAATTCCCAAAGATGATAGCGAAGGGGTCATTGGATAAGGTTGGGCACCAGAGGGAGTGCTGCCAGACTGTGAGAGGGCAAAGACTCCAGGAGAATCTTTCATTCAATGAGTAATAATTAGCAAGAAAATTCAAAATGAAAAATTAAAAATTGGCCAGGTGCGGTGGCTCACACCTGTAATTGCAGCACTTTGGGAGGCCAAGACAGAAGGATTGCTGGAGTCCAGGAGTTTGAGACCAGCTTAGGCAACATAGTGAGACCCTGTCTCTATTTAAAAAATAATGTTTTTAAAAAAGGAAGAAAACAAGAATTAAAATTATTAATTCCAGGAACCAAAAAAAAAAAAAGCTGAGGAAAAGTCAGGCAGTATACATCACATGGTTCAGCTGTGAATTACATTCAGGTAGTCACAAAAATGGTGGCACTGAATGCTGATCTCTCCAAAATTGTGATTGACAGCTATTGGGAGGATGGGGGAACAGGTGTGCTTGCATGGGGCTGAGAAGGGAAAGTTGAAAGACAGCTAAACTCTCATCCTTCATCATAGGGAAGCCAACAATAAAATCCTAAAACCAAGAGAGAGCAACACAAGCATTTATCTGAATCACTTGGGGATCAAGTTAATGAGCAGATTCCAATTCAAAGGGTCTAGATAGGGTTATAGGGTCTGAGAGCATTTATTCCTAGTGAGCTCCAAGGTGATGTCCATGTTGATGGCTCACAGACTGCACACTGAGCACAAGGATTTAGGGAACAGAAATAAATGCCAAAACACTTACTTAAAAGAGCTGAAAGCATTTGCCTCTGAAGGACAAGAAATAGGGTGGAAAGCAGGGCACCATGCAGCTATTTTTAAATAGCAAGGTTTGTAGAAGTGTTTGACTCTTTAAGCTGGGTGCGGTGGCTCACCCCTGTAATCTCAGCACTTTGAGAGGCCGAGGCGGGCAGATCACCTAAGGTCAGGTGTTCGAGACCAGCCTGGCCAACATGGTGAAACCCCGTCTCTACTGAAAATACAAAAATTAGCTGGGCGTGGTGGTGCACATCTGTAATCCCAGCTACATGGGAGGCTGAGGCAGGAGAATCACCTGAACCCGGGAGGTGGAGGTTGCAGTGAGCTGAGATCATGCCACTGCACTCCAGCCTGGGTGACAGAGTGAGCAAGACTCCATCTCAAAAAAACACAAAAAACAAAAACAGAGAAGGGTTTGACTCTTTAAACGATGTGTGTGCAAAATGGAAACTAAATGTTTTTCTATGAGACAAGAAAGAACAAGCACATGCACACATACAGACACACAGACAGACAGACAGACAGACAGACACACATATACATATACTTCACCTGATTTGTGCACCAGTACCACAAAGCTGTAATGGGCATTCCAAATATAATTCCTGGCCATGGAATGTCCCCAGTCACAGCATCTCGGAAGATGTGGAAGGAGTCCGCCCGAGGTGTGTAGCAACTGGCACTGATTGTCAAGTTGTCCCCCTCGACTACGGATGGGGTGGCATTCACGTACTTCTCGGTAAAGCTCTCATAACCTCCAACTTCGTTAAATGCTAAAAAGGCATCAGAGTAAAATGAGATGTCTTACTGAAATCTAAGACATCCAATGTTTATGATGACTACTTTTTGGTGGAGGTAAACAAGCACCTCCCATCAGCCCAGTCCAATCCTCAGTGACCCTCTCCCAGGTCCATGTCTTTCTGGTACCTCCGCTGGCATTGGCCATGCTACCAGATTTACTTTCACGAAGTACACAAAGCAAATAACTGACTTGTCTTCCTATATTGCTCTTTGAAATTTTAAGTTAGTGTTTCTTTTAAGGTAAAAATGAAGCTGTTATCCAACAGGCTGACACTGATGTCTCACAACCATTTAGAGCATAAGCAAACTGGAAGGTGAGCTAACAAAGTGAGCCTCATGAAATTATCCATCAGAAAGCCCCAGCTCCTCTGAAAAAGATCAGGAGGCAAAGGCCTCTCTTCTTGACCCAGAGCTTGGCTCTTTTGATCTTACTTGCAATCTGGTTTTCTGGTGCAACACTATATTTTGCCTGTTACAATAAAAAATTGGAAAGATAAGAAGCAGAAATTGGGAGTGGCAGGTTAGACGTGACAAGAGAAAATACTGAGACTCAGCCTGTTCGGGTCTGGAAAGGCTAGTCAGGTGCAGAAGAGAATTGTGATTGCCCTTAGAAAGCTGAGTCCAGGCATCTGGGGTCCCTTAGTATAGCTTTAAATGATGAAAAATTCATCAGGGTATTATACAATTGTAGGGCTGAGTTAACATTAATTTACTTCATTATTTAGCTGAAGGACTACTATGCGCCAAACACTGCTAGGATCATGTGCAAAATAAATGTGCAAGGCAGGAACTTAGCCGAGTGGAGGATACAGACAATACAAGGAAGTTGCTTTGATTAGATAAATATGGTTTGCAACAAAAATACATAGGAGACCCTAAGAGATGAGAGTCCCCCTCTTCATCCTAAAGATGGCAGAATTGAGGCTTAGAGACCCTAATGCCAGAGAGTGCATCACTGAGGCCAGAAACCAAGGCACCATGAACAAGAACAGCACAGAAGTTCTGGATAACTGAATAGAAAGTACACAAAGAATTGGTGCTAACAATAGCACTGTGCAATAGAAACATTCTGCAATGATAGAAATGTTCCGTATCCATGCCGTCCAGTATGGCTAGTTTTCCTATGCAAAGATAAATACCATAATAAGAGAAAACAAATATTGGCAAGCAGTAAATCAGATCAATATTGCTTGACGGCAATGAACTGAATGATACTAATAAGTGAGCATTATTAAGAAAACTCCAACCTATATTTGTGTATTATCACAATGTATTGTTAATAGATTTCCATCCAAAATAGTCATAATGAGGTTATGGATGTTTTGGATGAAAATCCACTACAATACATTGTTAGAATACACAAACACAGGTTGTGTATTCTATGTGTATGATTCAGTTGAACTGACTAATATTCAGTTCTCAAATTTTTTCCTACTATTTAATCCTTCATTTCATAAAAATTCTATGTAAATGAAAGGTTTCTAGACAATACTTCTGTAAAATTATCAGCCCAATGCTACTGATTTTGTCTGTCCTTAACACAAAGAAATCAAGGTTAAATGAGATAACTTATCTAAGCAGTAATTTTTTTTTTTTTTTTTGAGATGGAGTCTCGCTCTGTTGCCCAGGCTGGAGTGCAGTGGCGCCATCTCGGCTCGCTGCAACCTCCGATTTCCGGGTTCACACCATTCTCCTGCCTCAGCCTCTTGAGTAGCTGGGACTACAAGCGCGCGCCACCACGCCGGGCTTATTTTTTATATTTTTAGTAGAGACGGGGTTTCACCACGTTAGCCAGGATGGCCTCGATCTCCTGACCTCGTGATCCACCCGCCTCGGCCTCCCAAAGTGCTGGGATTACAAGCGTGAGCCACCGCGCCCGGCCTCTAAGCAGTAATTTTTAAAAGAAAGTGATGTTCTCTTCCCCACCATCCATTTCCTCATGCTGAGCTAATAAAGCAAGAAAGAAGTCAGGCAGATATTTCAGTGATGGGGATTATGTAAATGACTGGAAAGTGTGACCAGATGGAACTGGAAGGCATCCCAATAAAGAGCAGACAGACCGAACAGAAACAAGTCCCGTGATTTCCAGGCCCTGGGCACTGCACGCAGGGTCATCACTTACCAAACCCCATGAGAATAAAAGAGCCAATCAGCATGATGATGGTCTGGAGGGTGTCTGTGTAAATCACCGAGGCCAAGCCCCCTAGTGAGAGAAAGAAAAGAACCAGGGCATTTTATCCATGTGTCCTCATGTATTTACCTTCACCACTGGGTTCTCCTCCACCCACAACCCTGGAAATGACCCAGTAGAAGACATCAAAAGCTCCTGGGTGAGCCACAAGCTTGTCCTGGCATCATGATCTCCTCAGCACTGGTTTTCCTACTTCCCTTGCCTTGCCCTGATTCAAAGTTTCTGTGAATTACAGTGAAGTTTCATCTTTGTGTGAGTTTTTGAATATTAAATAGGGGAAAAGGCAGCACTTTAATACCATGAAAGTTTCTCTTAACAATCCCTCAATTTACGCCCATTCAGCACAGTGCACCTGCTCTAAAATATCTAGTGAAACCACTTTTGCTCTAGTGCTGGAACGTATTATTGTTTCATTAATTCAGTACCAGATATAGTTACTGTGTTTTGTGTTTTGCTGTAGTGTTGAACAACAACAACAACAAAAATCCAAACCCAACTTCTTTTTCAGTTCTAGACTAACTAGGCTCTCAGTCTAGTTAGTCACCAGCACCTGCAACAAGATATTCCCTTTATGAGAGTGTCATGAGAAAATAAGATGAATCCTGAACACAGAAGACTCATGCCCTTATTGCTCCCTTATTCTGAAACACATGCTCTGTGAAAGTTGTCTGTACCAAAATAGAGACACTTATGCCAAACCCTAACAAAATGGGGCTGGGAGACCATGCAGGTAGAGCCCTCATACACCTATGCCGGTAACAGGAACTGTTGGAAGACATTATCATGAAGACTGTCTCCTAGCAACAGCCAGTACCACCAATGAACAAACACCAGCACCTGCAACAAGCAGGTGAAGCAATCATCTTTGTTTCAAAACAGCTTACATGGACTCTCCCTCTCTGTCTTTAAAAGCCTCTCCTTGCCCCAACCCCCTTGGAAGTCCTGTGGTCTGCCATAGCACATGTATCCTGGTTTGCAATCCCTCACTATTCCCGAAGAAACTCCTCATTTTGGAGAGTTGGTCTCTCTGTCGCTTATTTTAGGTTGACAGCTCAAATGCACGAAAATGGCCCCAAAACTGTTTTGACTGTTCTAGCTGGTATTTTTCCTTACGTCTTCCAACTCAGCTGGTATACTTTAATTTTTATGTTAGTATGCATGAGAAGCATATCAACATACCTGGTTCATGAGAGCCTGCTTGGACTATTGTCACAGATCGTCTCCCGCCAGCAACCCACTGCTCCAGTTCTCCTCTCCCAACTGCACCATTCATGGCCATGGCCATGCCCTGGCATCCTGTGTTCATTTGAACCTTGCCTTTCATTTGCTAGTCTCCTATCTGAGCTGCTACTTCCTCCCAACCGTCTGTGTGGATGATATGCTGAATTCGAAGTGCCAATCTGGTTACCAAACATATAGCTGAACCAAATGACCTGTTTCCTACCCCATCCCCCACATAATTCCCTTCCATCAAGATGTTCACATCTAATATGGAGGATTCTGTGTTGTATGGTCTAGTTGTGTTTCTGGTGCTGTGCTTGACTCTCATAGTGGAAATGAAATGGTGCCTTTACCTCGGCAGTGACAAGGTTAACACTGAGAATGCTAATTGCAGGTTGGGGTGGGATCAGCAAAAGATAGCCTGAGTGAGCAAAATATGCAACATACTTACCAGTGGTGGTGTAAACAGCAGTCATAGCCAAGAGGATGAAGATTGCCAGGTAAAGGTCCAATCCCAAGGCCAGCTTGATGAATATGGCTCCAGCAAATATGTCTGCCTAAAAAGGGAACAGTCAGGATGAGAAAGAAACATGCATTTGAGGCCACTGGCTTCTCTGCCCCAATGTCCACTCTACTCAACCCTTCTTTTTCTGATAGACTCCTACTTACCCTTCAAGAATCCACTGAGATGGCCCCAGAGTAATACCTTCCATAAAGCCTCAAAAAACGATTTTTACTCTCTTCACTCTCTTCTGTAGTCGCATAGAAGTTAGTTCATTGCTCAGTTGAGGTGCTTATTAAATGAAGTGACATGTCCTGAGAACTTTTTCTGTATCATGAGGCTTAGACAGGCTGAGTAATTGCTTATAGGAAGCCCCTTGACTGTGATGGAGTATTTAGAAATATATCTTCTCCTTGAGCCCAGGAGTTTGAGGCTGCAGTGAGCAGTAATTGAGTCACTGCACTCCAGCCTGGGAGTGCATATTATATATATATATATATATATATATATATATATATATATATATATATATATTTATATATATATTTATATATATATAAATTATATAAAATATATGTATAATATATAAAATATATATAATATATATATTATATTGTGTGTTTTATGTACTATAAAATTTATTAAGGGCAAAACCACAATTACTTTTGCACCAACCTAATATATTGGATAGAAAGTATGTACCAAACGGCCGGGTGCGGTGGCTCACACCTGGAATCCCAGCACTTTGGGAGGCCGAGGCAGGTGGATCACGAGGTCAGGAGATTGAGACCATCCTGGCTAACACAGTGAAACCCCGTCTCTACTACAAATACAAAAAATTAGCCAGGCATGGTGGCAGCCGTGTGTAGTCCCAGCTACTCGGGAGGCTGAGGCAGGAGAATGGTGTGAACCTGGGAGGCGGAGCTTGCAGTGAGCAGAGATGGCGCCACTGCATTCCAGCTGGGTGACAGAGCGAGACTCCATCTCAAAAAAAAAAAAAAAAAAAAAGAAAGTATGTACCAAAATAGAATGCAACCAAAGAGCATTGTTTCATTTATATTCCAAATAGATATGTGCTACAGTGATGGAAAATTGGTTTGAATTGGGGGGTTAGTTATGATTATTTTTGAAATTGAGGGGAAAATGTAGAATTAATTTAGATTATGCAGACTGTGCTGTAAAAGCATGATGTTGGCTGGAATTCAATTAATTACATGTGTCTCTGACCCTCCTAGGGCCCTTAGGTCTAACCATAAAAAAAGGAGACTATGATCAACTTAAAAATCTCTCTAAGGCAAACATATTTCAGTGGGAAGTACATTTTCTTATCTACACTGTTTGGCTCAGCATAATTAACATGAATAATTCAGGACAATTTCCTGCTAGTTATTATATATGTGTGTATATATATATATGTGTGTGTGTGTATACATATATAAAACTAATAATGTATATGTTCTTAGAATTAGTATTCTTGTTTGCCAATGAGGATTTTTATAATTATCTGTTTGTTTTAATTTTCCTAAAATTATTAACAGAACTGAGTCCGTTTTAAGAGACAAATTGCGTAACATTTTTTTCTCTGTTCTGGAAAAACTTAAGCTGCCAACAGATCATCTCTTACTTGAAACCTTGAAAGAATTCACCCCTACCCTTCTCCATGTCCCCAAACTACCTGTCAGGTAGGTTATTATTATCATCATTTTGCATCTGAGAAAACTGAGGCTTAGGGAATTTGTCCTAGATCACCCAGATAGAAAGTGGTAAGCTCAGGATTTAAACCTGTGTGGTGTGACTCAGAAGCTTCCATGGTTAAACACTTTGTTATACTGCTATCATGGAATTTTACTTAGTGAAATATGTGGGGAACACTTAGAGAAGTATAGATAAATTATTCTAGGAAGATGGTGAATATGGCAGCATAGTTTGTGAACTTCCATGAATCTCTACATTAGACAGAGCAAGTTTATGGCAAAACCAACAAAATTAGATGACAGGGTATTTCCGTGAGGCCCAAAAGGCAAGACGGCAGGTGCAACCTGCCACAAGACCTGCATGGCAGCAAGATCTGGGAGGAGGCAGAGAGAAACAGCAGCTTATCTGAAGAAACTTAGAGTTAGACATCTCCACATAGCCACCAGGTGACACTGAGCAGCACAGTGGGACAATTTCAGAACTACAGCAGAGCATAAAATAAGTTTTGCTTTAATAACCAGTGGGCAACTGTAAGGGCTCCTTGGTAAATTCCAAAAGGGTTCAGAGTAGTCTGGGTCAAACAAGCTCTCAAAACTAACAGCCAAAGCTGCCTTTCAGAACAGGGACCTACACCGAGGAGAAGCTTCTAGAAGTGGCAACAAAGTTTGGCAAAATGAGGAACACCATGTTTGATGATACACTAGTCTTATGGTGGGGATGGAAGAGAACTGCAAATAAGTTCTGAATTCATAGTTTGTTTTTTTTGTAGCAGTATGGGCGAGGCAATTCGGAAATAATTTTCTTTTTAAAAATATTTACTTATTTTTGTTTCAGCCGGGCACAGTGGCTCATGCCTGTAATCCCAGCACTTTGGGAGGCCAAAGCGGGTGGATCACTTGAGGTCATTTGTCAATTTATGCTTTTGTTATCTGTGGTTTTGAGGTCTTATCTAAAAAAACCTTTGCCCAGACCAATGTCCTGAAGCATTTCTGAAACCATTTTTGATGCATTATAGGATTGAGCAAACAAATTTTACATATATATATGTGTGTGTGTGTGTGTGTGTGTGTGTGTATATATATCTGTATGTGTGTGTGTATATATATATCTGTGTGTGTGTGTGTGTGTGTGTATATATATGTGTGTATATATATATGTATGTATGTTGATGACTTGGAGGGCCAGGATTCTCAGTTGTGGAAGAGGGAACATATAAATATAGAATTGCAGAAGGCAATAAAATACTCTATAGAGCTGGACTGGAATTGGAGATATTAGTGTGAACTCATGATTTCTAAACTGTATATGTACGTGTATAGCTGCCTAGAAAGTATATGTATGTGTGTGTGTGAATATATCTATTTATGTGTGGGCATTTACATGTGTGTATGTATGCATTTATTTCCTAATGATGTCAGCTAAAATAGTCAAGAAAAAAAGTCCACCCAATAAGCACACTTAGCACGCAGATTTTTGTTTCTAATACCCCTCCCCACTAAAGGAGCCAGGGCTCTCCCAGAAAAATAGGTGACTCCAGGACTGGAGCAGGGCTGGTACAAGATGAGTCTGAAACATTTTGTTAGGCCAGAATTTAAGAAATTGCCCAACAAAATGATGGGATCATGCCCCATCCTTTACACAGAATCCAGTTTGAGGAACTCTCACTGGCCAAATGTGGTGTAAGTATCAAAATAACTGGCTGGGCGTGGTGGCTCATGCCTGTAATCCCAGCACTTTGGGAGGCCAAGGCGGGCAGATCACGAGATCAGGAGTTCGAGACCAGCCTGACAAGCATGGCGAAACCCTATCTCTACTAAAAATACAAAAAATTAGCCAGGTATGGTGGCGCGTGCCTGTAGTCCCAGCTACTTAGGAGGCTGAGGCAGGAGAATTGCTTGAACCTGGCAGGCAGAGGTTGCAGTGAACTGAGGTCACACCACTGCACTCCAGCCTGGGCGACAGAGTGAGACTCCGTCTCAAAAAAAAAAGTATCAAAATAACTGCATATAATAATATTGGTAAACCAATGATAAATAGGAATGTATCAGTCCATATCAGTAATAGATAAATAGAGAAGGGAAGACTCCTGCCCTCAGTAGCCTGCTGAATGCTGTCTGGGAACTGTGGAAGGAGTGCTAGGAGTTTTGGAAAATTATTATTTGGCAACCATCATAGTAAAGATTGGATCTGATAAGAACCATTTATGAATGCTAAATCTAGTGGAAAAATTTGAAGAGGAACTGGATATTTCAGTGGTTTAAAGGATCTGTCACAGACTGCTTATTGGTTACAGGGGAAAATAAAACAGTAATTCTATAGTGGAGAAACTGGGCAATACTTTGACCAGGTGATTAAAATTAACATCACCATTGAGGAACAGACGGGCATTGAATGCTTCTAGATAGGATACTTTTAGTAGGATACATCACTTATGCAGTATTCCAGCCAAGAAGAATGCATAACGTGAATCCAACCATGAAGAAATATCAGGCAAATCCAAAAGAAAAATTGTCATATTAAGAAGGGTGGAGTAGGGACTCTATCCTTCAAATTGTCAGTATCATCAAAGACAGAAAAAGGGTATGGAAATGTTCCAGATGAAAGGAGGCTAAAGACACTTGGCAAGTGAATGTAGTACCTGACCCTAGACCGCATCCTGTACTGGAGAAGAAAAGATGATTAAAAAAGGTATTACTGGGTCAATTTACAAAGTTGGAATTTAAATGGTAGATTAGTGTATCCATGTTATGTTTACTTGAGTTGATAATTCCAATTGGTTTTGCAAGAAATTATCCCTGCTCCTAGGAATAACAATATACAGGGAAGGCTCAGTTTAAAAAACCATCATTTTACACTGCCACAGTAAAGACTGGATCAGGTAAAAATCACTGGATCAGGTAGAATCATCAATGAGTGTTAAATCTGGGGGAAATTTTACATTGAAATTATTGGGGTTAAAGGGCAATGACATATGTAACAATTTCAAATAGTTAAAAACATATGAGAGACACTTTGGGAGGCCAAGCAGGGTGGATCATTTGAGGTCAGGAGTTTGAGCCCAGCCTAGCCAACATGGTGAAACCCCATCTCTACTAAAAATAGAAAAAAATTAGCCGAGCGTGTTGGTGCATGCCTGTAATCCTGGCTACTGGGGAGGCTGAGGCAGGAGAATCACTTGAACCTGGGAGGCAGAGGTTGCAGTGAGCTGAGATTGTGCCACTGCACTCCAGCCTGGAAGATAGAGTGAGACTCTGTCTCTGTTTCTGTGTTGAAGTTGGGGCTAGAAACAGGTGTAGCAGGAGACGGTTGTATTTTTCTCTAAGATTTGAAATAAAATCTGACATTTTATCATCCCATGCGATACTGATGTTGGCCAAAAACCTGTTCTTGATTTTCTGAGCCTAGATCCCAACTCGGTTGTACAAATGCAAAGTACTTTCTGTAACTCTATTGCACATTGGGGTTTCCCAGGAATACCAACTAATATTGAGGGAAGATTTCACTTTTAAAAAAATGTTCAGCATTTCAGAAAAAGAGTGTTACCTGTGGAGGTGCCACGTGTGATATCTGCCTCTGCCTGCATTTATAGCTGTCTTCACTCATACTGCTTTATCCTCATCCACAGAGGGGCGAGTATTACACCACAGCATTTTGACTTCATGTGTAGTTCTACTTAATCATTTTCATATTAAAACACACTATCTTATTATGGATTCTTTGACCTTTGTTTCTATTATATAGTACTATTAAGGAATTAAATCCATGGTTTTAAAATTGTATGTAAGTAGTTGACATATTATCAATGAATTTTTTCCTAAAGAAATAGGGACTACTCCAGGTCACTCACGCTGTGGTGCAATGGCATGATCTTAGCTCATTATAACTTAGCTCCTGGGTTCAAGTGATCCTTCTGCCTCAGCCAAAGTAGCTGGGACAATAAATGTGTGCCCCCATACCTGGCTAAATAATTTTTTTTTTGGTAGAGATAAGGGTCTCACTATTTAGCCCAGGCAGGTCTGGAACTCCTGGCCTCCAGTGATCCTCCTGCCTCAGCCTCCCAAAGTGCTGGGATTACAGGCAGAAGTCACTGGGCTCAGCCATCAATGACATTTTTCTTTTATTGTGATGAAACATATATGACATAAAATTTACCATTTTAACCATTTAAGTATATAATTCAGTGGCATTAATTACACTAACAATGACTGTAAAATATTTCTCATAATAAAGAGGAATTGCAAGGATCAGGATTTTCTTTTGCTATAAAGGACTGTATTAAAACAATAGTCAATATCTGAATAAAGACTGTAGATTAGATAATAGTTTATATCAAATCTCAATACATATGTTATTGCAGGTTGAGAACCAGTGAACAAGATGATCTTTTTCCAACCTGGGCAGAGGAGAGTTATGAAAACTGTCCTGTCCTAACGTCTCATAACGATCTGTTTAATAAGTAACTAGGAGACAATCCGTGTGTCAGAGTGTAAGAGTACACAAAAGGTCATGTCTAAGGTTAATCATTATTAATGTCACTTAAGACATAAACCTGCAGGCAAGAATGGACTCCTGCTAAGGTGTCTTTCCAGCCAGCCACAGACTCTGCACAGCCACAGACCTGCACATGGCTTCCCTGCACCCACACCTAGCTCACCAACATTCTGTCCCTCCCCATCCACCAGTGACCCTCCAGTCTGGGAGGTTGCATCCTTCGGGGGCCCCTTTTCACTGTGCATTGTCCTCTGTTCTATGCCTTCATGCCTTCTCATGCTCTTTTTTAAATAAAAATTTTATTTATCTACTTTTTTGAGACGGAGTCTCGCTCTTGTCACTAGGCCGGAGTGCAGTCGCGCGATCTCGGTTCACTGCAACCTCTGCCTCCCGGGTTCAAGCAATTCTCCTGCCTCAGCCTCCTGAGTAGCTGGGACTACAGGTGCATGCCACAATGCCCAGCTAATTTTTGTATGTTTAGTAGAGACGAGGTTTCACCATGTTGGTCAGGATGGTCTCCATCTCTTGACCTCATGATCTGCCTGCCTCGGCCTCCCAGAGTGTTGGGATTACAGGCGTGAGCCACTGCGCCCGGCCTGCTCATGCTCTTCAGAACTGTAAAGCTGTAGATGTCAGCACCAGAGGACAATTGGGAGACTAGCAAGTCCAACGATTTAAGAGACGTGTGAACTCTAAGCCCCTGACACCTGTGAGCTTCTCTGCTTCCCTCTGCCTCGCCTAACCTTCCCATCCTGGGGAATACTTAAGTGCCCTCTCCAAGAGTATGACCCCCAATGCCATCCATCAGGGAGCATACTCTTCTCCGGGTGTGCACGGCACATTTTCTGTACTTGTCCATGCACTCTAGTTCAGCATGTATTTTAGTACATTTACATGTATTGTCATATGGGACTAATTGTTTCATGTGCAGAATTCTTATTTCCTTAGCCAGATGGTGAACTCCCGTGGCTCAAGAATCTTTGCTACGCTCACACAAAGCTCAATAATATGCAGTCAGTGCTGGGCAATGCTCACGTTGCATTGGGAAGGCTCATGCCATCTAACCTAAGCAGCTAGTTCACTTCCAACAACAACTCGGTTCAACAGAGGAGCAATAGGAAAGGTCAGCCTTTTCTCTCATGAACTCTGAGACACCTGCCTAGACTGTAAACTTGAGATTATTTCATTAGTCACCGATACATGAGGAGCAAATAAGTTACTCTTTGTTTTTTACATGTGCTGCTGAATCTTCATATTCCTTCCTTCTTTCCTCACTGATTATCTCCCAAAAATGTAATGTTTGTTTGTTTATTTATTTATTTTTGAGATGGAGTCTCACTCTGTCTCCCAGACTGGAGTGCAGTGGTGTGATCTTGGCTCACTGCAACCTCTGCCTCCCGTGTTCAAGCTATTCTCCTGCCTCAGCCTCCTGAGTAGCTGGGATTACTGGTGTGCATCACCATGCCTGGCTAATTTTTGTATTTTTAATAGAGATGGGGTTTTACCATGTTGGCCAGGCTGGTCTCAAACTCCTGACCTCAAGTGATCCACCTGCCTCAGCCTCCCAAAGTGCTGGGATTACAAGTGTGCGCCACTGCACCAGGCCCAAAAAAATGTAACTTTATAAAAAAGTACTTAAAATGTACTTTAAAATTTTTTAACACTTATTTGTGACATATGTCTTACCATGGTGGTCTTAGATAGAGTGAACTTAAGAAAAATCAGTATAATAATACAAAGTACTTTCCTTGTGGTTCACGTGTCAGATAATAAAACTGAAAATGAAAATATAAATCTGGACATGGTCTGAGAAAGAATATAAAGGTTATCTTGCAATGGAAAAGGCAGGCGACCAAGTCCTTCTCTTTACTACTAAAGAGCTGTGTTACTTGAATGAGACGTTTTGTTCTTTCTTTACATCCATTTTTTCATATCCTTGATGAGAGGGGAGATTTATACCCAGAGCCTCTCATGACTTAAAAGTCTACCACTCTACGAACACAGGGTCTTTGAAGCTCCCTTTTTCCTCATGAAGACTTTGAAGAGACAGTCCTGAGAATTTAAGACATCCATATCCTTGACCCTTTAAAGGCTGTTGACAGTCTACACATCCAGCTCTCTGATATTAGCACTCTGGCCCCATCTGACCAACCTCTTGAAGCTAAAATGCCAGGAGGCTCTGAACTCACAGAAATTAACAAAACCACACAGATGAAGAGGGAGAGGATGGAGAGGTAGACCTGGAGTCGCTCCCCACCAAACCGCTTCTTGAGATATTCCGGCATGGTCATCACCTGCAGAGACAGACATTGACAGGGACTTAACTTACCCTTAGGGCCCTGTGCGTTCAGATTATTCAGCATTTCCTAAGCACCTGTGAGTGAAAGTCCTGTGTGTGGCCCCTTCCTGGTGATGGAACCATGGCTTCTTACTCATAGAGGCATCCCTGATGCCATGCACAGTGACTGGCAGAGGGTGGGTGCTTAAACCATGCTTCTGAAGAGAAGGACCCCCCCATGGATAACTCCAGCCAAGGTCTCTCTCCTGACCAATCTGCAGATCTCACTTTCCCACTGCCGGTTGGGTGTCTCCACCTTAGTGCCTTGAATGCACCAAACATAAGTGAAGTCATCATTCTCCTTGTCATCCATCATTTGCCTCTGATCTGGAATCCCTGGCTCCATTAATGGTGGCCTCGGGCACTCCGACCCTCGAGCTTCAAGTCTTAGAGCTGATCATAATGCTTCCCCCTCCATTGCCTTCACTTTTACTCTGCCATCAAACCTGTCATCTCTGCTCCAGGGTCATTATGCAGGGGCACCATTGATTTCCCCACTGGCTGCAGCCACATTCTATACTGGAAACCTCTCTAGGCAAGAAATTTGATTTTTTTGTCTTCTGTATATTTCTAGCAATAGGCCAGGTGAAGGGCAGGGACCCAGGTTTCATGATTGAAGAGAAAAAATAAGTGAATAAATGAATGCCTGACAGATTTACCCAAACACTGTGGATACGGAACTGGCCCAGTTGTCCCATAGAACTGATGTCTGTGGTTTATTTGAATAAGCATAGAAACTGATCCTCCCAGTGTTACAACTTGAGAAAGTTACCTTTGTCTTATCTGAGTTCCTCTCTCAGGAAATCAACCATCAGTTCTCCCAGATAGGGTCAAAGAGCTGAAACTCACTAGATCAACACACCTGGACAATGAGAAGCCAGACCCCTTGCCCATTATAATTGTCTAACCCACCACCAGCTTCCTGTTGACCGACTTCTCTTCCTTATCCCCACCCCTAATTCCTGTTTTCCCACACATGGTTACATATCTTCCCTGTTATATAAACCCCTAATTTTAGTCCATCAGGAAGATGGATTTGAGACTGAGCTCCCATCTCCTCTGCTGTGGCACCTAAATAAAGCCTTTTTTCCTGGCAATACTCATTGTCTCAGTGATTGATCTTCTGTGCAGTGAGCAGCAGTGCCTAGAACTGAACTCTGGCATTTTGGTAACAGATACTCACCCCCGACTTGATGTAGATAGGGACAAAGATCCACCCAAGAATCAGCAACATTACTGAGGACTACAAGGAACCAAAATAAGAGACAGTGAGACATTAAAGAGGCTTGGCTTGTGGACCTTCTCCTTCTATGACCTCTGAGTCTGGAAATTAAAAAAAAAAGTTGGCTCAATCCTGTCCCATTCAAACAACTATAATCCCAAGACAATTGTGAGTTCCTTTTTTTCTGTTTCTATGACTCAGGGGCCACCATTTTCTGAGGATTAAATTGTGGTGAAAAAGGGAAAGAAGATAAGGGATCTGATCCCAGTGGAACCCCTGGAAGGTCATACAATCTTTGCCAAAGGGAATTTTTCTTGAATTGCATAAATGATAAATGGAGTGACAAAGCAATGAGAAAGGAACCTGGAGATAGAAGAATATCACCAGTGCTCCCCAAGTCTTCCCACATACAGTGACGATAATAATATAATCTAGCATTAATGTGCAATTTTTACAGAGAGTCTTCACATAGATCACTTACGCTGCTCTCAGCCTAAGTGAGGCAGATATGAGAAGCACAGTTATTCTTATCTTAGAGAGGGGGAACTTGAGCCTTACAGAGATTAAGGGGGCCCAAGGTCACAGTGACAGGGGGAGCAGCTCAGTTCTCTGCAGCCTGCTCATCACACCCACTTGGTCCATAGGTCATTCTGGCCATGCCTCTGGAGACTGGCTTCATTCTGGTGTCCATGGCACTATTAAAACAAAGCTCCAGCCATAGGGCATATCTGGAGGCTGGGTCCATCCTGGACTCCTGGATACTACTGAAGTAAATGTAGGGGCAAAATCTTCAGCAGGGGAGGGGCACAGGTATGTGTGATCTCTCAAGGTCACTTTCTGAGTTCAACCAGGGAATGGTCTGTTTAAACTTTCACTATGATCCAACTTTCCTTTACACAGGCATCGTCTTCTGCCGAATATGCACATGCATGTACATGAAAACACCAGAAAGAGTAAGACAAAAGAACAGAAAAACTCAGGCAACTCAAAAGCTGTTGGTGGCACATCCATCACATGTCCAGCCTTGTGCTAGAGCAAACTTGTCCAACCTGTGGCCCAAGCTGGCTTTGAATGTGGCCCAACACAAATTTGTAAACTTTCTTAAAAAATAATAAGGTTTTTTGGTGATTTTTTTTTTAGGTCATCAGCTATTCTTAGTGTATTTTATGTGTGGTCCAAGATAATTCTTCTTCTTCTAGTGTGGTCCAGGGCAGTCAAAAGATTGGACACCCCTGTGCTAAAGGATGGGCTGGACACATAGTGGGGACTCAGGGAGGAGAGATGAAAGGGAGAGCTAAAATGCTCAAGTGAACATAGGGATTGAGGCATATAGAAATGACATTCCTGGTGGGAATAACTGCTTGAGAAAAATCTTAGAGGTGAGCAGTGATGTGCATGGAATGGGCCAGGCAGAATGGGACCACAGAAGTGCTGAAGGTCAAACAAGAGGTGGAGGCTGGGTGCAGTGACTCACACCTGTGATCCCAGCATTTTGGGAGGCTGAGGTGAGAGGCTTACAGACCTCAGGAGTTAAGAGACCAGCCTGGGCAACATAGGGAGAACCCCATATCTACAAAAAACCAAAAACCTAGCTGGGCATGGTGGTGCACACCTGTGGTCCCAGCTACATGGGAGGCTGTGGTGGGAGGATTGCTTGAGCCCAGGAGGTCAGTGAGCCATGATCCTGCTACTGCACTCCAGCCTGGGGAACAGAGCAAGGCTGTGGGAGTGCAAATTAGTTCAAACATTGTGGAAGGCAGTGTGGTGATTCCTCAAGGATCTAGAACCAGAAATACCATTTGACCCATCAATCCCATTACTGGGTATATACCCAAAGGATTATAAATCATTCTACTATAAACACACATGCACATGTATGTTTATTGCAGCACTATTTACAATAGCAAATACTTGGAATCAACCCAAATGCTCAACAATGATAGACTGGATAAAGAAAATGTGGCACATATATACCATAGAATACTACACAGCCATAAAAAAGGATGAGTTCATGTCCTTTGCAGGGACATGGATGAAGCTGGAAAGCCCTCATTCTCAGCAAACTAACCCAGGAACAGGAAATCAAACACCACATGTTCTCATTCATAAGTAGGAGTTGAACAATGAGAACACATGGACACAGGGAGGGGAACATCACACACTGGGGCCTGTCAGGGGGTGAGGGGCAAGGAGAGGGAGAGCATTAGAACAAATACCTGATGCATGCATGGCTTAAAACCTAGATGATGGGTTCACAGGTGCAGCAAACCACCATGACACATGTATACCTATGTAACAAACCTGCAGGTTCTGCACATGTATCCCAGAACTTAAAATTGACAAAGAAGACAACAACAAACAAATAAGCAAAAAAAAAAAAAAAAAAAAAAAAAAACCAAAGAGGAGAACATTCTATACAGACACCCAGAAAAACCTGGGATATGACTTCCATTAATATACCTGGATGCTATGGTTTCAACGTGTACCACCAAGTTCATGTGTTGGAAACTTAATCCCCAATGCAACAGTATTGAGAGGTTAGACCATTAAGGGGTGATTAGGTTATGAGGGCTCTTCCCTCATAAACAGATGGATCCCATTATTGAGATAATGGGTTAGTTATAGTAGGAGTGGGTTCCTGATTTTAAAAAATGAGTTTCACCCTCTCCTCCCCTTTTCTCTTCTGTCTCTGTCTCTGTCTCTTTCTCTCTCTCTCTCATCCTCCATCCCTCTCTCTCTCTCTCTCTCTCTCTCGTGCCCTATTGCCCTTCCACCTTCCACCTTCCACCATGGGACGATGAAGCAAGAAGCCCTTGCCAGATGTGGGTCCCTCAGCCCTTGCACTTCCCAGCCTTCAGAGCTGTCAGAGATACATTTCTGTTCTTTATAAATTATCCAGCCTGTGATATTCTGTCATAGCAGCATAAAACATACTAAGACACTGGATATGGTTTTGATTTGAAGGAAAAAGCCTATGATGTCACTTACAGTCCATTCAAATGTTACGGTGGCGACTCCTGAAGCTGCTCCTGTCCCAGCCAGCCCCACATAGTGGTTGCTGCCGATGTTACTGGCAAAGAGAGAGGCGCCCATCTGGAATGCAAGAGAACAGACTAGGGTTGGAGTTAAAAGATCCAAATCAGACTTCTTGAAAATAGACAGATGTAGCTGGGCGTGGTGGCTCACGCCTGTAATCCCAGCACTTTGGGAGGCTGAGGCGGGTGGATCACAAGGTCAGGAGATCAAGACCATCCTGGCTAACACGGTGAGACCCCATCTTTACTCAAAATACAAAAAAATCAGCCGGGCGTGGTGGTGGGCGCCTGTAGTCCCTGCTGCTCTGGAGGCTGAGGCAGGAGAATGGCATGAACCCAGGGGGTGGAGCCTGCAGTGAGCGGAGATCGCGCCACTGCACTCCAGCCTGGGTGACAGAGCAAGACTCTGTCTCAAAAAAAAAAAAAAAAAGAAAATAGACAGATGCTGAGATGTTTCAGTCACTACTCCTCAGAGCAGGAGTCAAGCAAACAATGGCCCCTGGGCTAATCCAGCCCACAGTCAGTTTCTGAATGGCCCACGAGCCAAGAATGTTTTTTTACATTTTTGCATTGTTAAATAATGGTAAACAATCTAAGTAAGCATAATATTTTGTGAAATGTGAAATTGTAAACTTGTGAAATTGTATGATTCAAATTTCATTGTCTGGAACACAGCCGTGCTCATTGGTTTTCCATATGGACTTGGGCTGCTTTTTGTCCTACAACAGCGGGGTTCTGTGGCTGCAATAGACTATATGTCTAGAAAACTCTAAAGTATTTACAATCTGGCCTTTTACAGAAAAGCTCGTTGGCCCCTGTCTTGGGGGAGCATTGGTCAATCTACTAAAATGCTCTGAGTTGAGCCTGTCCTTGGCCAAGCACTGCCAGATCTCCCATCAGCTCTTCTCCCTTTAATCATATGCAAAGACCCCAAGCTGGCTAGGAGGGAGTTTCTCTCCATCCTCCCAGCCACAGGACACTCTTTTCATTCATCCCCTCGCCATTACAGTGTCTGCTGTTCTAAAGACCCAGAGACCAAGAGAGGTCTCTTGAGTGGACGTAGATGAGCACCAGTCCTAGCAGAAGAGAATTGGGGTGTGGCTCTTCCCACTTTTTAAGGCCTCTGTAAAATCACTTTTTCTGCTCAGCTACATGGGGCCAGAGGATGGGATTGAGCTGGTTTTTGGCTTCAAGATCGCTTGAGCCTCCTTGCATGTTTCACTAAACAGTCCTAAAAATGCAATGTCTGATTGGATGTCCCAAATAAAATTCATTTCAAACTTCCAGTTGTTCTGCTTCAGTCACCCCAGCCAGGACAGTTGCCCATCTCCACTTCCCCTCATACCATTTAGAAAATGAGTCAGATCTGTGAAGGAAGCATTTGCTAAGCACCCACTGTATAATGTGATGCTGGGCTGACACTCTCCAGGTGCAGAGGGGAAGATACAGCCTCTGCTGCAGTGGGACCCTGGCTGAGGGGGTCACACATCAAAACCCCACAAGAACACCCACTGGGCAAGAATCAAGAGGCATCAGCATTAGCACCATCACAGGGAACACAACCAATAACTGCATGGGACATAGGGACCCATGGAGAGAGCCGGGAGGCTCCTCAGATGAGAAAGGGCTGAGGTGAGGCATTGAAAGAGGACAGCAGACAAGGGGAGGCCAATCCTAACAAGAGGGCCAGCATCAGCTCAGGACTGGCAACAAAGCAGGAATGCGCAGAGCTTGTAAGAAGCCAGGAGAAGACTCTTGATAAGGAGCAGAAGAAAAGAATATAAGGTGGGGCTGAGCTGGGGTCCTTCAGTGCCAGACTGAACCGGCTGTCATAATAGGTGACATATTGTAATGTCCTGGAATTACAGAGAGGAGCCATGAAGTCGGGGATTTAGGAAAGGAGCCCCAGCGAGTAGGCAACCAATGTACATCAGAAATGATCAACATTCCCAATGTTGTCTACATTCACTTTTTTTTTTTTGAGATGGAGTTTCATTCTTGTTGCCCAGGCTGGAGTGCAGTGGTGTGATCTAGGCTCACTGCAACCTCTGCCTCCCAGGTTCAAGTGATTATCCTGCCTCAGCCTCCTGAGTAGCTGGGATTACAGGCATACACACCACCACGTCCAGCTAATTTTTGTATTTTTAGTAGAGATGGTTTCACCATGTTAGTCAGGCTGGTCTCGAACTCCTGACCTCAGATGATCTGCCAGCCTTGGCCTCCCAAAGTGCTGGGATTACAGGCGTGAGACACCGCACCCAGCCTACATTCAGTTTTAAGCACACACACAGGAAATTTATCTCCAGAAAACTTCGATCCACTTACCGGCCACCAGGCCATATCACGACCAGCGAGGAAGAAGCCTCCTATAGTACCTCGGTTGGTCTTCAGCATCGCCTGAGCAGAAGGGAAGACAGGTGAGGGTCAAGCCCCAGCAAGTGCACCCAGACACCCCAGAGGCTCTGGCCAGGGTGCTGAGAGGGGTGACTTCAGCACTCCTACAGAGAGAAACATTTCGCTGGAAAGTGTTCTATAGCATCAAATTTTAAAGGACTTCAAAAACAGTCGCTTTGTAAAAACCCAGGGCTGGAAGAACTTAAAAAAATCATAATCCTTAACTTCTATCTTAACTGCTCTGATTATTCTCACTTATGAAAACCATGTGAGGTATCATTGAGCCATGCTTGCAATAAAATTTGCAGTCTCGGCCGGGCACGGTGGCTCACGCCTGTAATTCCAGCACTTTGGAGGGCCGAGGCGGGTGGATCACAAGGTCAAGAGATCGAGACCATCCTGGCCAACATGGTGAAACCCCGTCTCTACTAAAAATACAAAAAGTTAGCCGGGCGTGGTGGCGCATGCCTGTAGTCCCAGCTACTTGGGAGGCTGAGGCAGGAGAATGGCGTGAACCCAGGAGGCGGAGCTTGCAGTGAGCCAAGCAAGCGCCACTGCACTCCAGCCTGGACGACAGAGCAAGACTCCGTCTCAAAAAAAAAAAAAATTTGCAGTCTCAAATTTATTAAAATAAAAAAATTCAACATAAATGAAGAGTCCAACTCACTAAATCAGAAAGTGAGCAAACAACAAAAGAAAGCGAAAGAAATGCGATAATAAAAATACACTCTTTGTCCATTATGCCAGGTGTTGGGGATGCATAGTAAATCTGAAGGTCCCGGTGCTGGCTGTGTGCACACGATGGGGTTATTAGGAGAATACATTAGTTCATTGTAAGCGTTATTTATGCAACACACAAGAAAATGATTCTGATAACACAATGACATTTGTGAAAAGCTTTGTCACAACCACACCCCTTCCCCCCTTAAGATACCCCCTCCTAAACCTTGTGCCCACCCTAAAAGCCACTGGGATTCCACCTACCCACAGCCCAACAGCCATCACCACCAGAAAATAGATGACAATGACTGAGATGTCAGCAGCATTTCGGATGTGGTCAGACAATGGAGGTGGCTCTGGGGTCTCAGCTATGGTGCTGGGGCTAACCGTACTGGCCATGGCTGCAGGCAGTGCTATACCCATTCCACGCATGAGCCATCTTTATATAAGTTCTGGGTTAATGATCAGCCTCAGGCAGGTGGGGCGAGATATCAGAGCCAGCTCCTGGATATGGAGACCTTTAAACCTCTTCTCCAAAGCTGTGGCACCCCAGCCCTCCACCAGTGAGTGCTAGCCTAGGTAGAGTGTGAGAATGAGGGATGCAGGGCCAGAAATGAGGGGAGAATTTGAGGTGGAGCATGGGGCGTTCTCTGAGTGCAAAGACAGGGTCTTTAAAGAGATTTGCCCAGGTGGAGGGGGGATTTGAGAGAAATGAAGACAGACAAGGAGGGGAGAAGGACA
Source organism: Homo sapiens (assembly GCF_000001405.40). NCBI lineage: Eukaryota > Metazoa > Chordata > Mammalia > Primates > Hominidae > Homo > Homo sapiens. The sequence goes on from NC_000022.11 coordinate 32,255,672, forward strand.
GACTAGAAGGTACCAGAAACCAGCCAGGAGGGACCGAATGCAATGGTCCTTCAGAGAACAGATACAGTTTCTGACCAATGAGCTATATCCCTTGACAGTGAAGTGAATTATGCCTTTCGTGGATTCCAAAGTCCCACATTTCTCTGAAGTGGGTTTCATGTGCCACAAAAAGACATTGGTGGCCTGTATAGGAAAGGAAGTGGCTCTTCAAGCACCATATGTGGTGAGTTGAGGGCAGAGCTGTGGAGAGCGCTGGGTCAGAGGGTTGTACAAAGAGTGAATCAACCTGGAAGCATGTGATGGGGATCATGAGGACTCAGGAAACAAGACTCCTGGACTACAGCCAAGAAGAAGTTAGAAGTAAAGCCTATGCGGTGGCTGACACCTGTAATCCCAGCACTTTGGGAGGCCAAGGAGAGAGCATCACTTGAGGCCAGGAGTTCAAGACCAGCTTGGGCAACATAGGGAGTCTTTGTCTCTATAAAAATTAGCTGAGTGTGGTGATGCACACGTATGGTCCCAGCTACTTGGGAGGCTGAAGAGGGAGGATCACCTGTGACTGGGAGGTCAAAGCTATAGTGAGCCATGATCACGCCGCTGCACTCTAGCCTGGGCAACTGAGCAAGATCCTGTCTCAAAAACAAACAAAAAAAACAACAACAAAAAAACAAAACCAAAAACACACATGAAAAAACGGAAAGCCCAGAAATTCTTCTTTTATACTTCATTTTTTATTGTGGCAAAGCATACATAGCATAAAATTTACCATTTTAATCCCTTTTAAGTGTACAATTCATTGGCATTAAGTACATTTACAGTGTTATGCAGCCATTACCACTATCCATTTCCAGAACTTTTTCATCATCTCCAAACAGAAGTATGTACCCACTAAAAACTAACTCCCCATCCCTCCCTCTCTCCAGGCCCTGGTAACCTCTGTTATTCTTTCTTACTATATAAATTTGCCTATTCTAGGTACCTCATACAAATGAAATCATACAATATTTTCCTCTTTGGTTTATTTCACTTAGTATGACATTTTCAAGGTTCATCCATATTGTAGCATGTATCAGAATTTCCTTCCTTTTTAAGGCTGAATAATATTCCAATACTCATATATACCACATTTTGTTTATCCATTCAACTGTTGATGGGCATTCAGGTTCTTTCTATACTTGGCTATTATAAATAATGCTGCTGAGAACACTGGTGTGCAAGGATCTGTTTGAATCCCTACTTTCAATTCTTTTGAGTCTATATGTAGAAGTGGAATTGCATGTGATAATTCTGTGTTTAACTTTTTGTAGAACTGCCAAACTGTTGTTCACAGCAGCTGCACTATTTTACATTCTTTCCACAGTGCATAGGAGAGTTAATTTCTCCATATCCTCTTCAATACTTGTCATTTATGTTTTAATTATAGACAGGCTAGTAGGTATCAAGTGGGTATCACAATATAGTTTTGATTTACACTTCTAACACAATCACTAGTAGTGTTGATTTTTTCATGTGCTTATAGCCATTTGTGCATCTTCTTGGAGAGAGATATATTCAACTTCTTCATCCATTTAAAAATTATGTTGTATTCTTTTTTACACTGCTCCTTGTGGAGCAGGACTACCTCATTGGCAGTGTACCCAGAATAGCCTTATGTTGTATTTTTGTTGCTGTTGAATTGTAGAATTTCCTTTTTATTTCTCAGAGACAGGGTCTCATTCTGTCACCCAGGCTGGAGTGCAGTGAGGTAAGCATGGCTCAGTGCAGCCTCAACCTCCTGGGCTCAAGTGATCCTCCCATCTCAGCCTCCACCATAGCTGGGACCACAGGCACATGCCACCCATGCCTGGCTAACTTCATTTTTTTAGAGGTGGGGGTCTTACCATGTTGTCCAGGCTGGTCTTGAACACCTGGGCTCAAGTAATTCCTTGTCTCAGCCTCTCAAAGTGCTGGGATTACAGGCATGAGCCACTGAACCCAGCAAGGTTTTCTTTTTTTTTTAATTTTTTTTTTTGAGACAGAGTTTCACTCTTGTTGCCCAGGCTGGAGTGCAATGGCACAATCTTGGCTCACTGCAACCTCCATTTCCTGGGTTCAAGCGATTCTCCTGCCTCAGCCTCCCGAGTAGCTGGGATTACAGAAACACACCACCATGCCCGGCTATTTTTTGTATTTTTAGCAGAGATGGATGGGGTTTCACCATATTGACCAGGCTGGTCTTGAACTCCTGACCGCAGGTAATTCTCCCGCCTTGGCCTCCCAAAGTGCTGGGATTACAGGTGTGAGCCACCTCGCCCAGCTAAGGTTTTCTTTATGTATTCTTTATTTTATTTGTGAGACAGAGTCTTGCTCTGTTGCCCAGGCTGGAGGGTGGTGGTACAATCTCCACTCACTGCAGCCCCCACCTCGCAGGTTCAAGTGATTCTTCTCCTGCCTCAGCCTCCCGAGTTGCTGGGATTACAGGCATGCACCACCATTTCCAGCTAATTTTTGTATTTTTAGTGGAGATGGGGTTGTGTCATGTTGGCCAGGCTGGTCCTGAACTCCTGATCTCATGTCATCTGTGAATAGAGATGATCTTACTTCTTTTCCAATTAGAATGCCTTTTAATTATTTCTATTTCTTACCCACTTATTCTGGCTGGGACTTCCAATGCTATGTTGAATAGAGGAAGTATGGTTGATTCCAAAATATAAAATAACCCCCCACAACTCAATGGCAAAAACAAAAAAACTAATAAGCCAATTAAAATGGGCTAAAGACTTAGACATTTCTCAAAAAAACACAAACCAATAGCCAAGAGGTATATGAAAAATTGTTCAACGTCACTAATCGTCGGGAAAATGCAGATCAAAACCAGTATGAAATATCCCCTCACACCTGTCAGGATAGCTATTATAAAAAAAAGAAAAAAAAGACAAGTATCAAGGATGTGGAGAAATTGGAACCCTTGTACACTGTTGTTGAGGGTGCAAAATGGTGCAGCTCCTATGGAAAACGGTATGAAGCTTCTTCAAAAAGTTAAAAATTGCAAGTGATCTAGCAATTCCATTTCTGGGCATGTATCCAAAAAAATTGAAATTGGCATCGCAAAAAGATATATCTGCACACCCATGTTCATAAGTACTATTCACAAAAGATACAGAAACAACCTAATGTCCATCAGTGGATGCATGGATAAAGACTATGTGGTATATGCATCCATGGAATATTATTCAGCCTTTGAAAGGCAGAATATTCTACAATATGCAACAATGTGCATGAACCTTGAGGACATTATGCTCAGTGAAATAACCTGTCACAGGAGGTCAAATATTGCGTAATTCCACTTATATGAGGTACCCCAAATGGTCAAATACATAGAATTCGTGAGTGGAATGGTAGTTGCCAGTGAGCATGTGGGGAGGTAAATGGAGAGTTGCTAATTAACAGGCAGAAAGTTCCAGTTAAACAAGATGAATCAGTGGCAGAGATCTGCTGTACACCATTGTACCTACAATTAAGTACTGTTTTGTACACTGAAAAATTTGTTAAGGGGTAAAGTTCATGTTAAGTGTTCTAATCACATAATTTTTTATTAAAGTCATGAAAGTAGACCACATGGTCTAGATCATAATCTCAGGGGAAAAGCTTTTAGTCTTTCAGCATTATTAGCTATTAATGACAAAATTAACCTATTAGCTATAGGGTTTTCATATGTGGCTTTATTATATTGAAGGATTTTTCTTATATTCCATGTTGATTGTTTTTTATCCAAAAAGGGCTGAATTTTGTCAATGCTTTTTCTGCACCAGGTGTTTTTTTCCTTTGTTCTATTAACGTGGCATGCTACATTGACTGATTTTCATATGTTGAACTATCCCTGCATTCTGAGAAAAAATTCCCCATGTTCTTGGTGTATAATTTAATATGCTGCTATATTAGGTTACCTATTTTGTAGATTATTTTTGCATTAGTATTGATAAAGGACACTGCTGTGTATTTTTTGTTCTTGCAGTGTCTTTGTCTCTTTTTGGTATCAGGGTCATGCAAGCCTCATGTAATGAGTTAAGAAGTGTTCCCTCCTCTTCAGTTTTTTTGGAAGAGATTAAGGTGGATTGGTGTTAATTCTTCCTTAATTGTTGGGTACCATTCACCAGTGAGTCATTTGGTGAAGGGCTTTTCAATTTTTTTGAGAATACACACCAAGTTTTATTGGGAGAAGGGAGTATTCACAGGAGTAGGTAAAAGAAAGGGAAGTCACACAGGGTGGAGCGGTGGGATGATTGTGGGTACAAGGCAGACAGGGGAACACAGGGCGATGCCTGCCCCGACCCCAACCCCAGGAAGGGCAGGGGAGCAGCGAAGGCCCAGGAAGATTGAGGCTAGTGAAAGAAAGCAACAGGGTCCCTGGGCTGGGGGACTCAGGGGCTTGTAAACATTGACCACTCTCAGAAGGGGATGAGGGTGGGAGAGGGGTCCCCCTATACTTCCTCACAGGGTTAAGGCCTCTCCAGGTCCCTGGGCCCCCTAATTCCAAAGCTTCTTAGCTGGAGGTAAAGAGCAGAAAGAGACAGGAAGGGTGCCCCACTTCCTCTACATTGGCTGCAGCAGAGGTGGGGGTGCTTACATTCAGTCACAACAGGAATCTCCCCCACACCTGCCTAGGGGAAAGGAGGAGCTGGGGGCAGCAGCAGCAGTCACTCCCCCCAGCCGTCACCTCTTATCACTTTAGAGAAAAGATTGTATTTTCATGGACAAATGCTAACACTGTTGAAACCAGGGAGAAACGGTGGAGGAGTGCTTCCACCCAAGGCCAGCTGTATTCCCCCAACACCAACCCAGCTGCCATTTTGGTGACAAAAAAAAAAAACAAAACCAAAAACAAAAACAAAAACCCACAAATCATCTTTCTAGGATAGACAGGGAAAGAAACAAGCCACTCTCCATATCCCCAGGGCAGGAGGGAGAAATCTACTCATGGAGGGTGGCAGTGGCAGAACCTTGCCCTAACAGTGCACTCTGAGCAATGAGGTCTACGAGAGGAGTTAGATGAAAAACCCAAAAGATAAAACAAACTATTAAAAATCGGAAAACGGATGGAGACAAATCCAGGTATGGGACCAGGAATAAGAAGTCATGAGGCTGGGCACAGTGGCTCATGCCTGTAATCCCAACACTTTGGGAGGCCAAGGTGGGTGGATAATCTGAAGTCAGGAGTTTGACACCAGCCTGGCCAACATGGTGAAACCCCGTCTCTGCTAAAAATACAAAAATTAGCTGGGTGTGATGGCGGGCTCCTGTAATCCCAGCTAGTCAGGAGGCTTAGGCAGGAGAATCGTTTGAACCCAGGAGGCGAAGTTTGCAGTGAGCTGAGATCGTGCCATTGCACTCCAGCCTGGGTGACAGGGCAAAAAAAAAAAAAAGTCACGAGCACTAGAAAAGGCAGCCTCCCCTGACCCAGGAGACTCACACTTCTCTTCACCCCTTTAGCGAAGGCTAAACAATATGCACAGGGGAGAACGCTCACTCCTCTCCCGTTTGGTCAGTGGAGGGGTCAGCTGCAGAGCTGGGTGGTCCACACCCCAAGAGCTGGCTGCAGTTCAGGTCCTGGGTCAGAGCTCCCTCTGCCATTGCAACCTTAAGCTGCCCACTCCTTACCCTTTGAAAGTCTATCCTCCTGCCCCCTTCACAGGCCCCTACTCAGTCCACTTAGCTTTCTCTCTGCAGCCCCTAGAGCAATTGTCCACCTTCGTTGTTCCCAGGAGTGAGGCAGGAGCGAGGTGGGGGCTTGTGGCCCAAAGAACACATTCACATGGCAAGACAGAGAGCTGGAGCTTTCAGGCTCACACCCAGGGTGCCCCCTTCAATGGCACTGGTTGGGGAAGCCCCTTACCAGGGGCAGGGTCAGAGTCCTGCCACCCCGAACTTCCAGACAGATAAGGTTGGCATACCCTGGCCAGCACAGGATGATCGCCCAGGGAGCTGGGCCACTAGTCCAATTTGTGCAACTCTCCCCCAAAGCAGCAAAGCCAAGGGGCAACTTTGTGTTTGTTTGTTTTTTAATGTACAATTAATATTGACTGTAGTCACCCTGTTGTGCTATCAAATAGTATGTTTTATTCATTCTGTTTTTTTGTACCCATTAACCATCCTCACCTCCCTCCCAGCTCCACAATACCCTCCCCAGCCTCTCATAACCATCCTTCTGTTTCCTATGTCCATGAGTTCAACTGTTTTGATTTTTAGATCCCACAAATAAGTGAGAACATGTGATGTTTGTCTTTCTGTGACTAGCTTATTTCACTTGACATAATAATCTTCATTTCCATCCATGTTGTTGCAAATGACATGATCTCCTTTTTTATGCCTGAATAGTATTCCATTGTGCATATACATCACATTTGCTTTATCCATTCATTCGTTGATGGACACTTAGGTTGCTTCCACATCTTGGCTATTGTGACTAGTGCTGCAATAAATACGAGAGTGCAAATATCTCTTCAATATAGTGATTTTCTTTCTTTTGGATATATGCCCAACAGTGGGATTGCTGGATCACATGGTGGCCCCAATTGTAGTTTTTTGAGGAGTCTTCACACTGTTCTCCATAGTGGTTGTACTAATTTACATTCCCATCAATAGTGTGTGAGGGCTCCAAGGGACTACTTTGGCCCCACCCCAGACACCTCTGCCAGTCACAGCCACAGCCACAGCCACAGGTTGTTGCTCACAGCAGGTCTGATGGAAGGGGCTCGGAGGGGCCTCACTGTGCAAACTGATGGCTAGCAGCTTCTAGTTACCCTGATGGCCCACCTTCTAGGGGCAGGTGGGTAAATGCAGCCTCAGGGGCCAGGCAGGACAGGTCCATGTGGCCTGTGTCCCTGCTGAAGGGCTCTTCTTTATCGACAAGTTTTTGATTATTGATTCAGTCTTCTTACCAGTTCCAGGTCTGTTGTTTCCTTCCTCTTGACTCACAGTTGGTAGACTGCATGTTTCTTTTTTTTGTTTAGACTCTAAGTTCTGGGATACATGTACAGAACATCCAAGTGCAAAAAAGAAAAGAAAGTTCAAATTCCTACAGTCAGAAATAAAAGTGCGTACATCACTACATTTTTATTTTTATTTTTATTTTTTTTTGAGACAGAGTCTCACTCTGTTGCCCAGGCTGGAGTGCAGTGGCGTGATCTCGGCTCACTGCAAGCTCTGACTCCCAGGTTCATGCCATTCTCCTGCCTCAGCCTCGCGAGTAGCTGGGACTACAGGTGGCCACCACCTCTCCCAGCTAATTTTTGTATTTTTAGTAGAGATGGGGTTTCACTGTGTTAGCCAGGATGGTCTCGATCTCCTGACTTTGTGATCCACCCGCCTCGACCTCCCAAAGTGCTGGGATTACAGGCATGAGCCACCGTGCCCGGCCCTACATTTTTTTTTTTGACAAGATACCACTGTCAACCAGGCTGGAGTGCATTCACTGCCTGCTGAGTAGCTACAAGCATACACCACCATGCCTGGCTAGTTTTTGTCTGTTTGTTGTTTTTGTTAGAGACAGGGTTTCACCATGTTGCGCAGGCTGGTCTCAAACACTGGGTTCAAGTGATTCAGCCTCCCAAAGTGCTGCGATTACAGGCATGAGCCACTGAGCCTTGCCTCAATACTGGTTTTATAAAAATTAAAAAGATTTTAAGAGAATACTATAAACATTTGTATGCCAACAAGTTGGTTAGCCCAGATAAAATGAAACAATTCCTTAGAAACATGCAGTCTACCCATTTATGCGGCCAAGAAACATATGAAAAAAAGCTCATCATCACTGGTCATTAGAGAAATGCAAACCAAAACCACAATGAGATACCATTTCACGCCAGTTAGAATGGCGATCATTAAAAAGTCAGGAAACAACAGATGCTGGGGAGGATGTGGAGAAATAGGAACACTTTTATACTGTTGGTGGGAGTGTAAATAAGTTCAGTCATTGTGGAAGACAGTGTGGCGAATCCTCAAGGATCTAGAACCAGAAATACTATTTGACCCAGCAATCCCATTACTGGGTATATACCTAAAGGATTATAAATCATTCTACTATAAAGACACATGCACACGTATTTTTATTGCGGTACTATTCACAATAGCAAAGACTTGGAACCAACCCAAATGCCCATCAATGGTAGACTGGATAAAGAAAATGTGGCACATACACACCATGGAATACTATGCAGTCATAAAAAAGGATGAGTTCATGTCCTTTGCAGGGACATGGATTAAGCTGGGAACCATCATTCTCAGTAAACTAACACAAGAACAGAAAACCAAACACTGCATGTTCTCGCTCATAAGGGGAGTTGAACAATAACACATGAACATAGAACATCATACACCGGGGCCTGTCATGGGGTTGGGGGCTGGGAGAGGGAGAGCATTAGGAGAAATACCCAATGTAGATGATGGATTGATGGGTGCAGCAAACCACCATGGCACGCGTATACGTATGTAACAAACCTGCATGTTCTGCATATGTACCCCAGAACTTAAAGTATAATAAAAAAAAAATTAAAAAAAAAAGAAATTGTCGTGAGACCACTTAAAACTGGACGATGACCTTTCTTTTTTTATATTAGAGAATATAATAGAACTAAGAAATCTCAATCAGGTGTGGCAGCTCACACCTGTAATCTCAGCACTTTGGGAGGCCAAGGCAGGAGGATCACTTGAGCCAGGGGTTCTAGACCAGCCAGGGCAACATGGTGAGACCCCCATCTCTACAAAAAATAGAAAAAGTTCGTTGGGCATGGTGGCATGTGCCTGTGGTCCCAGCTTCTTGGGAGGCTCAGGTGGATCACCTGAGCCCATGTAGTTAACGTTACAGTAAGCCATGATTATGCCACTGCATTCTAGCAGCAGTGGGCGACAGAGACCCAGTCTCAAAACAAAACAAAACGAAACAAGAAACCAGAAAAAAGAAGACATCTATTAATCAGACCAAAGTCCTAAAAAAGAAATAACATTTAATCAGACCGAAGTCCTAAAAGAGAAATAACATTTAAAAAGAAGACATCTAAAGTTGTAATCATACCCTGCATGTTTTATCCAAGCCTAGAATTCATATTAACACAAAATATATTACTGATAGCTGTTCCACACTTTTTTTGTAGCCCTTGTTAAGACTAAGAATGTATGTATTTTGAATCTGTTTTTGGCTGATAAATGTGTGAACCCCGCACGTTTATAGTCTGTTGAAAGAATATACCTCAAATATAGTCACTGTCTCATATTTTCTTTCTTTTTTTCATCTCAAGTTTGGAAATGTTTGAAAATGCCCATGTATAATGATAATTGTAGTCTCTTTCTTAGAAAGGAAATCACAAATAATTTATATAGAATCTTAATATTTCCACTTATTGATGTACTACAACTCAGATATACTTCCTTTGTGTTACTCTTTGGATGATGTAAAATCAAATTTGCTTCCTTGCCAGGCATGGTGGCTCACACCTGTTATCCCAGCACTTTGGAAGGCCAAGGTGGGAAGATTGCTTAAGACCAGTTCTGGCAATATAGTGAGATCCTCATCTCTACAAAATAGTTAAAAAATTAGCCAGTCTTGGTAGCACACACTGGTAGTCCCAGCTACTGGGGAGGCTGAGGCAGGAGGATGGCTTCAGCCCAGGAGTTCGAGGCTACAGTGAGCCATAATTGTACCATTGCACTCCAGCCTGGGCAACAGAGCAAGACCCTGTCTCAAGAAAAAAAAATTTGCTTCCTTAAATTATATTATTGTTTTAGATGACCTCCAGAGAATCATGAAACTGCAAGGAGGATGAAAAGCAAGAGGAAATATGAAGGAAACCAGATTGATTAAATTATATGTGGATCCAATAGTAATTATTTGTTGTCTACTTTTTGGTAAATATTTTTCATATTTCATATCCAAAATGTAGGCCACACACTTTCGGAGGCTGAGGTGGGTGGATCACTTGAGGCCAGGTGTTTGAGACCAGCCCAGTCAACATGGTGAAACCCCCTCTCTACTAAAAATACAAAAATTAGCTGGGTGTGGTGGCTCATGCCTGTAATTCCAGCTTTGCGGGAGGGAGAGGAACGAGAAACGCTTGAACCGGGGAGGTGGAGGTTGCAGTGAGCCGAGATCATGCCACTGCACTCCAGCCTGGGTGATGGAGTGGGACTCTGTCTCAAAAAAAGGAAAAACAAAACAAAACAAACAGAACAAAATGTAGGCCACAGATACAGCTCTCAACTAAGTTTGACTCTTTTAAGACCACATCAATACAAATAAGAATAGTAACAGATTCTGTTACAAGTGTTTATAAATTGCCAGGGGAGGACAACAGAGAAAGGATTTGCCTTGGGGCAAAAGGAAAGGCCCCTACAGGAAGAAACACTTGATCAGGGCATTGGGTGCAGGAGAGCTTAGCCATTTAGCCATGTCATTCAGGGATAAAGGTTTCCAGGGAGCAGGAAGGGGGAAACTTTGCCTTTGAATTTAAACTAGTATAATTTATAATAATCTTGTGAAGAGCAAGTAGTCAGGATATCCTCAGCTATTAAAAAACAGAAATGATGACTAACTGAGTGGTTATGAGATGCCAGGGGCCCGTGTCTTTTGGTGGGCGTTTCAGAAAGTAGAACGGGGACAGAAAGCTTGGATCCGGACCAGGTCTCTTCATAAACTTCCACACAGCGCCACCTGGAGACAGGGAAGAGGGAGGCAGCTGAGAGAAAACCCTAGGTAGTTTCACTATTACTTCATTTATCAAACGTGGTTCAATATGTCTGCAATAGTCATGCAAAAACTAAAACCTGTTCACACTTTACAGATTAAGCACAAACTATTTACAAATACAGAGAGTAATATTAATGAAATTAAATGTACAGGAATGATTTTGTCTAAAAGCAAAGAAAAAATTATAAATACTGGCCACGGGCAATGTTCTTGAGATTTTTAGATACAGCTGACCCTTAAAAAATGTGGGGTTTAGGGGCACTGAGCCCCCGGCAGTCCAATACCTGTGCATAACTTTTGACTTCCCAATAACTTAAGGATGAATGGCCCATTGTTGACTGGAAGCCTTACCCATAATATCAAGTCCGTTAACGCATATTTTGCATATGTGTTATGTACTGTGTTCTTACAGTAAAGTAAGCTAGACCAAAGAAAATGTTCTTAAGAAAATCATAATGCAGAAAAAATATTTTTATGTGGAAGTGAATTCAACCTCTTCTAAATGTGGATCTTCACAAGAGTAAGTCCTTTTTAATAAATGACTGGTCTAATGAGTGTGGTTTTAGGAAAGACCTGTGAGTAAGTTTGACTAATTTTCTTCATCAAACTGTGAGTTTTTATTTTCATGATCAAAAACAATTTGAAATTAGCTCCATTCATAACAATTAATTTTGATGCCAAATGTTTTGTTTGAACAGTTTCAATCCTGATCCCAAATCTTACCAACGCCCACAATATACAAGACCTAATTTAGAATGATGTGGCAATATTTGTCCATATTAACTGTGAAAACCCTTTAGTGAGGACGATCTCCTTTGTGGCAATCTGCTTATGACGTCAGTAAAAATCTAATATATAGCATAATTAAATCAAAATCTGATTGGATTAAGAATGATAAGCAGGATGTGAATAAGGTGGGAGGAGGGACACTCTACACAAAAACCCTTGTAAGTGGAGCTCACTCCAACTGAGTTGTCAGTGGAAGCAATTGGAGGCCAGGGGAGAACCTAGTGGAGCAGAGGTGAGAATAAATTAAGAAAAAAATTAAAATTTTAATACAGAAAATGTTATCATTTCAGCATGAAATTAACTTTAAGATTGTTTTTAAGAAACAGGGTCTCCCTCCATCACCCAGGCTGGAGTGCAGTGGCACGATCATAGCTCACTGTAGCTTCAACTTCTTGGGCTCAGGCGATCCTCCCGACTCAGCCTCCCAGGGTGCTAGGACTACAGGCACATGCCACTGCACCCAGCCAACCTTTAAAAGTTCTTAACAACATCATTTACATTCTCTATTTCTCATTACATTTTCCAAATCCATTATGCATTTTACACTGAAAGCACATCTCAATTCTGATATGCCCCATTTCAGGTGCTCAAGAGCCACATGTGGCAGGACAGCCCAGTATAGACACTTTTATGACATCAACTTCCCAAAGAAACAATCAAGTCCTGGCTGGACGTGGTGGCTCACGCCTGTAATCCCAGCACTTTGGGAGGCTGAGGCAGGAGGATCACGAGGTCAGGAGATTGAGACCATCCTGGCTAACACAGTGAAACTCCATCTCTACTAAAAATACAAAAAATTAGCCAGGCGTGGTGGTGGGCGCCTGTAGTCCCAGGTACTTGGGAAGCTGAGGCAGGAGAATGGCGTAAACCCAGGAGGTGGAGCTTGCAGTGAGCCGAGATGGCGCCACTGCACTCCAGCTAGCATTTAAAATATCAGAAGCTCAAGGCCCTGAGTCTTTTATATATGTATTTATATTGTGTTTCATTATGTTTCACTAGTAATTGTGCATAGTAGGCCCTGATATCTCTATGTATATAAGGAGGAAAGATTTCCAAGGAGTGTTGTCCTTCAACTCATGACACTCTAATAGCATGTACATTTTTCCATAGAGAGTGGTCACGGCTGAACAATTTCAAGAAGCGAGTCGATGTCTCATCTCCCTATCTTATCTTGAAAAACCCGTGTACCTAAGTCGTGGATGTGTCTGCTGCATCCGCTGCATCAGTTCACTTCTGAAGGAACCCCATGAGGAAGGTGTAATGTGCTCCTTTCGCTCTGTGGCTACTCAGAAGAATGACATCAGGCCCGATTTCCAGCTGGGAAAGATGGATTCTAAAATCAAGGAACTGGAGCCCCAGCTGACAATTCTATATCAGAACCCAAAGACGCTGAAGTTCCAAGGTAAGAAATCTGTAAAATTTGCTCTCAGCCCATCAATGGCCCTGAGAAAGTAGCCATTCAAAATGTTCTCCATTAAATATGGGCATAGGCTGAATTCTGGCACCTGAAATATTTATGCCCCCAAACCATAGTTGAATATAGACTAGAGATGACTAGAGATTTTGAAGGTAATGTAATAGTTAGGTCGTGCTCTAGGCCTGTGCTGTCTAATGTGGTAGTCGCCATTGGCTGCAGAGCCCTTAAATGTGGTTAGTGTCCTCTGTGAAAATGATAATAATTTGGGATATACAGGCTTATAATATACTATTTAAAGTATTTTTTGCATTTTTTCTCTTGAGACAGAGTTTCGCTCTTTCGCCCAGGCTGAGTGCAGTGGTGTGATCTCGGCTTACTGCACGCTCTGCCTTCTGGGTTCAAGCGATTCTGCCTCAGCCTCCTGAGTAGCTGGGACTGCAGGAGCATGCCACCACACCGGGCTAATTTTTATATTTTTAGTAAACACAGGGTTTTGCCATGTTGGCCATGGCGGTCTCGAACTCCTCACCTTGTGATCTGCCCACCCTGGCCTCCCAAAGTGCTGGGATTACAGGCGTGAGCCACCACGAGCGGCTGCATGTTTTTTATTACTTTTTTAGCATGTCTACAGGAAAATTTAAAATTATACATGTGGCTGTCATATTTCTTTGGGTGTAGCACTGACCTAAAACATAACTTCTCAAGCTTGTTTATATTAAATCACCTGGAGATCTTTTAAAAATCCGTATTTTGATTCCATAGGAGTGGGCTGGCCTGTCCTGTAGAAGCTACCTCATCGATGTGCAGGCCCTGGATGAGAAGCTGCTCATCATCATCGCCCTGCAGTTCCTGCACGGCTACTACAAGCCCATCCTGTTCGAGCCCAACCAGACCTGGCCCGGGCACGTGGCTGTGTGGCAGGACACGTGCTCCATCGTGGCCATCTTGCTAACATCACGCAGAAGGTGCACCCCGTCATCTGATCTCTCACCAGCTACCCTTTGACTGCACCCAGGCTCTGGCCGTACCCAAGCCCATAGGTGGGGTGGTGGTCTTTGTCGTCAGCTCGCTGTTATACCTGAACCAGAGCATTCCCCCGTACGGTGTGGCTCTCAGCAGCCTCACCACAGGCACCGCAGCTTTCCCGCTGTGCACCCAGCTGGGTGTGTGAATCCCCCTGGACTGCGCCCAGGCCACCTTCATCTCCCATGACAAGATGGTCATCTCCCTCAAGGGCAGTCAGATCTACATGCTGACCCTCATCACCGATGGCATGCGTAGCGTCCGAGTGTTCCACTTTTGACAAGGCGGCCACCAGCGTCCTCACCACCAGCATGGTCACCATGGAGCCTGGGTACCTGTTCCTGAGTTCTTGCCTGGGCAACTCTCTCCTCCTCAAGTACACCGAGAAGCTTCAGGAGCCCCCGGCCAGTGCTATCTGTGAGGCTGCTGACAAGGAAGAGCCTCCCTCACAGAAGAAGCGAGTGGACACATGGCCAGCTGGTCAGCCAGGGACAAATCCGTGTCACAGGACGACATGGACGAGATTGAAGTGTACGGCAGCGACGCCCAGTCGGGCACACAGCTGGCCACCTACCTTTGAGGTGTGTGACAGCATCCTTAACATTGGACCCTGCACCAATGCTGCCATGGGTGAGCCTGCCTTCCTGTCTGAAGAGTTTCAGAACAACCCTGAGCCGGACCTGGAGATTGTGGTTTGCTCCAGCCACAGGAAGAATGGGGCTCTGTCGGTGCTGCAGAAGAGCATCCAGCCCCAGGTGGTGACAACCTTTGAGCTTCCCGGCTGCTACGACATGTGGACAGTCATCGCCCTGGTGCCTAAGGAGGAGAAAGAGAATCCCAAGGGGGAGGGCACGGAGCAGGAACCCAGCACCCCCGAAGCGGACAATGACCACCGCAGACAGTGATTCCTGATTCTGAGCCAGGAAGACTCAACCATATTCCCGCAGATGGGGCAGGAGATCATGGAGCTGGACACCAGTGGCTTTGCCACGCAGGGCCCCACGGTCTTTGCCGAAAACATCGGGGACAACCACTACATTGTCCAAGTGTCGCTGCTGGGCATCCACCTGCTGGAAGGAATGAATCAGTTGTACTTCATCCCTGTGGGCCTGGTCACCCGCAACATGCAGTGCACTGTAGGCAACCCCTGCGTGGTCATCATGAGTGCCGACGGCCGCGTCACCATGTTCCTGCTGAAAAGCACACTCCTATAGTGGCTGCCACGACCACCTGGTGCTGCACAAGCCCCCGCTGCACCATCAGCCCAACGTGATCACGCTGTGCCTGTACCGAGACCTCAGTGGCATGTTCACCACTGAGAGCTGCCTGAGCGGGGCTCACGATGAGCTAGGGGGCCACAGTGGCTTGGAGGCCGAGAGCCTGGGCTCGGAGACTAGCCCCACAGTCGGTGATGAGGAAATGCTGTGTGGGGATTTGGGATCCCTCTTCAGTCCCAGCAAGGAGGTGGCCCGAAGAAGCAGCCAGCCCCTGCCGACTGGGACTCTGTACCCTTCCAGACAGAGCCCATCCACTGGTGCCTGCTGTTGCAGGAGAATGGCACCATGGTGACCTGCCAGCTCCCCGACTGGCGGCTGGTGTTCTTGGTGAAGAACTTCCCTGTGGGGCAGCGGGTCCTCATGGACAGCTCCTTTGGAGAGCCCACCACACAGGGCGAGGCCCGCAGGGAGGAGGCCATGTGCCAGGAGGAGCTGCCTCTCTCGTCAAGGAGGTGCTGCTGGTTGTGCTGGGCAGCCGCCAGAGCACACCTTACCTGCTGGTGCATGTGGACCAAAAGCTGCTTATCTACAAGGCCTTCCCCCACGACTCTCGGCTCAGCCAGGGCAATCTCAAAGTCCACTTTAAGAAGGTCCTTCACAACATCAGCTTCCGTGAGAAGAAGCCGAAGCCATCCAAGAAGAAAGCAGGTGGCCGCACAGAGGAGAGGGTCGGGCCCGGGGCCGCGTGGCGTGTTTCCACTACTTCGAGGACATTTATGGCTACTCAGGAGTGTTCATCTGCGGCCCCTCACCTCACTGGCTCCTGGCGACAGACTGAGGGGTGCTGCGGCTGCACCCCGTGGGCATCAATGGCCCTGTCAACTCTTTCGCTCTGTTCCACAATGTCAACTGTCCCCGCGGCTTCCTGTACTTCAACAGACAGGGCAAACTGAGGATCAGCGTCCTTCCTGCCTACCTGTCCTATGATTCCCCGTGGCCTGTCAGGAAGATCCCGCTGTGCTGCACGGTCCACTGTGTGGCTTACCATGTGGAGTCCAAGATGTACGCTGTGGCCACCAGCACCAACACACTGTGCACCTGCATCCCACATGACTGGCGAGGAGAAGGCATTTGAGACCATTGAGAGAGATGAGCAGTGCATCCACCCCCAGGAGGCGGCCTTATCTATCCAGTTCATCTCCCTAGTCTGCTGGGAGGCTATTCCCAATGCCAGGATTGAGCTGCAGAAGTGGGAGCTTGTGACCAGCACGAAGACAGTGTCGCTGCAGCAAGGAGACCAGGTCAGGCTTCAAAGGCTACGCGTGGCCGCCGGGACCTGCCTCATGCAGGAGGAGGAGGAGGTCATGTCCTGAGGGCGGATCTTGATCATGGATGTGACTGAGGTGGTGCCCGAGCCCAGCCAGCCCTTGACCAAGAACAAGTTCAGAGTCCTTTACGAGAAGGAGCAGAAGGGGCCCGTGACTGCCCTGTGCACTGCAAGGCCACCTGGTGTCGGCCATCAGCCAGAAGATTTTCCTGTGAAGCCTGCGGGCCAGCGAGCTGACGGGCATGGCCTTCATGGTCGACAGGCAGCTCTACATCCACCAGATGATCAGCGTCAGGAACTTCATCCTGGCAGCCGACCTCATGAAGAGCATCTGGCTGCTGTTACCAGGAGGAGAGCAAGACGCTGAGCCTCGTCATGTGATGCCAAGACCCTGGAGGTGTACAGCGTGGACTTCATGGTAGACAACACCCAGCTGGGTTTTCTGGTGTCTGACCACGACTGCAGCCTCATGGTGTACATGTACCTGCCTGAAGCCAAGGAGAGTTTTGGGGGCATGTGCCTGCTGCGCTGGGCAGACTTCCATGTGGGTGCCCACATGAACGCATTCTATAGGACCCTGTGCCAGGGAGCCACTGAGGGGCTCAGCAAAAAGTCAGTGGTGGGAGAATAAGCATATCGCGTGGTTCGCCACCCAGGATGGTGGCATCGGGCTGCTGCTGCCCATGCAGGAGAAAACCTACTGGAGGCTGCTGATGCTGCTGAACGTGCTGCCACACCACACAGGCCTCAACCTCCGCACCTTCCGGATGCTGCGTGTGGACCTCCGCACCCTCCAGAATGCTGTGCTGCAAGCTGCACGGGGAGCTGCTCAACCGCTACCTGTACCTGAGCACCATGGAGCAGCAAGCTGGCCAAGAAGATCAGCACCATATCCGACATCATCCTGGATGACTTGCTGGAGACAGATGGCGTCACTGCCCACTTCTAGCTCCATGGATGTCGCTGCCACCACCACACCGCACTACCTCCCACCACCTTTTTTGAACAAAACACAAGGAATATATACTTTCTGGAAGACCATCTGATACTATGTATCAAGAATCTCAAAAATATTCATATACTATAATGCAATAAGGCCATTTCTAAAAATTTACCCTGAGAAGATAATCCAGACCTGTGCTACAATTTCCATTACAGAGACATCTGTTGTAATATTGTTTACGGAAGGGGGAAACAGAAAACAGCCTCCATGTCCACAGAGGAATGATTAAATATGTGGTACACCTACAGGCTGGAGTGTAAAATGGACACAAAAACAAGAAGAAATGCTCATGAGAAAACACAGTGATAGACGCCTTTTCTAAACAGTTTCTGCTTTGTTTGGGGTAAGTGTTCCACCTTTACCATCCCTAAATGCTCTAGTATAGTATAGTCTTAATCACATGTTTATTTGTATGCATCTATTATTACTTTATAAAATCTTTGAAAACCAAGTCTGTATCTGTCTCATCACCACTGCTGGCACAGCTCACAAGTATTTGCTGAGTGAGTTATTTAATCAGAAGTTACAAAACCAAACCAAACCTTATTTCCTTTTTGATTCTTTCAACTACCTAACTCTACAGCATACGGCACTATTTCCTAAACAAGAGAAAGCAAAACAAACAAACAAGCAAACAAAAACAAACAAACAAACAAACTCCAAATACTTTAAATGCTATTACAGATTATAAAATTACAACACTGCAGACTTGGCAGAAGGAAAGATTTAGATTTCAGAAAACATACACAAGTCATTTGGTAGAAGGCCCAGGGATATGAACAGATACTACACGCATGAGAAAATATCATGAGTAAAACAAGTACAGAAAACTGTACAAAACAGTGCCACTTTTGGCATGTTAACATTTGATATTCTATTTTTTTTTTTTTTTTGAGACAGAGTCTCGCTCTGTCACCCAGGCTGGAGTGCAGTGGCGTCATCTCGGCTCGCTGCAAGCTCCACCTCCCGGGTTCACACCGTTCTCCCGCTTCAGCCTCCCCAGTAGCTGGGACTACAGGTGCCCGCCAACAAGCCTGGCTAATTTTTTTTGTATTTTAGTAGAGACGGGGTTTCACTGTATTAGCCAGGATGGTCTCGATCTCCTGACCTCGTGCTCCTCCCGCCTCAGCCTCCTAAAGTGCTGGGATTATAGGCATGAGCCACTGCGCCCGGCCCAACATTTGATATTCTTATTTAAAAATGGAAATGCCAAATACTGTTACAGATATGATGAAATAGTACCCCTCATAGTTTGTTGTAGATATTATAAATTGGCACTGTTCTTAAGATAATTATAAGTTAAAAAAAGAAAGTTCATGGCCCACTTACACTCTACTGAGAAGTGAACAAAAGAAACAATCTCGAGTATGAAAAAGCTTATGCATAAAAACAGCTCAAAATATTATTTGTGATAATAAAAAGTTGAAAAAAAATCCACACCATGAAATATTAAATATCTTTTAAAACAGTGGCCAGGAAGCCTATGAGCCACCTGGGAAATGCTTCTGAAATAATTTTAATTAGATAAAAAGCTCCAAAATAGAACATGTGCTGCGATTAAGTTTATCTTAAAAAGACAAATTCAGAGGTGACACCGGAAAGAAATATACCAGAACATTAACAAGAGTAGAGTTAATACATGATTTTATACCTTATCCCTACTTTCCATAATGTGGTTACACTATTTTTCCAATGATTTTCTTAAAACTGAAAAAGATTTAGAATGCTTGTATCCTGGCCTTTCTTTAAAGTTCAGTTCAACTTATGAGTCCTTGAAAGCTCAGCTTCCCTATTCAAGCTCTTTCTCTAGTCAGTCTTCATATCATACAATTCACAACTTCATTAACTCACTTGTTTGATTTTATAATTGTCTAACACTGTAACATACAGTTCTTATTTTATAGCAGCTTATAACTCTATTGTACACCAGTAGTACACTAATGGCTCTCTCTGTGTCTGAAAAGTTCTGTGGATGCTGGAGATACAAAAGAAAAATCGACTCTTGATTAATTGAATCAAGGTGCATACTCTGAACAAAAGGGGACCACAATTTTTTTTAACTTTATTTTTTTATTACACTGTAAGTTTTAGGGTACATGTGCACAACGTGCAGGTTTGTTACATATGTATACATGTGCCATGTTGGTGTGCTGCACCCATTAACTCGTCATTTAGCATTAGGTATATCTCCTAATGCTATCCCTCCCCTCACCCCATGACAGGCCCCAGTGTGTGATGTTCCCCTTCCTGTGTCCATGTGTTCTCATTGTTTAATTCCCACCTATGAGTGAGAACATGCGGTGTTTGGTTTTTTGTCCTTGCGATAGTTTGCTGAGAATGATGGTTTCCAGCTTCATCCACGTCCCTACAAAGGACATGAACTCATCATTTTTCATGGCTGCATGGTATTCCATGGTGTATATGTGCCACATTTTCTTAATCCAGTCTACCATTGATGGACATTTGGGTTGGTTCCAAGTCTTTGCTATTGTAAATAGTGCTGCAATAAACATACATGTGCATGTGTCTTTATAGCAGCACGATTTATAATCCTTTGGGTATATACCCAGTAATGGGATTGCTGGGTCAAATGGATTTTCTAGTTTAGATCCCTGAGGAATCACCACACTGACTTCCACAATGGTTGAACTAGTTTATAATCCCACCAACAGTGTAAAAGTGTTCCTATTTCTCCACATCCTCTCCAGCACCTGTTGTTTCCTGACTTTTTAATGATCGCCATTCTAACTGGTGTGAGATGGTATCTCATTGTGGTTTTGATTTGCATTTCTCTGATGGCCAGTGATAATGAGCATTTTTTCACGTGTCTTTTGGCTGCATAAATGTCTTCTTTTGAGAAGTGTCTGTTCATATCCTTCGCCACAATTTTTTTAAAGATTTGCAGTTATATATCAAGTTACTGTTTCCTAATATATAAAAGCATAAATGTTTTAGTTCTATAAATAGTATTACAGATTTATTTCCTTTCAAAAGCCATACATTATGACACTTTCTTTTGTAAAATGTAGATGAATAAATCAGATAAAGATAATCTTCCTATAGGACTTTATCTCTTAAGACAATCAATATTTTGTATAAAGTCTGTATAGCTGCATTAATAATCTGAGCTATCAATGAATGTCATCACAGGCTCAGGGAGAACATAACGAAAACTTACTAAATTAGTATCTGCTGGTTTGGTCTCTGTGCAAATTGAATACGGCTGACAAGGCATTTAGCTTTGTATTATAGTTTGCTAAGCAAAGGGACAATGGAAAGAAAATTTCAAAGGGAAACGTTTAACCAACTTTAACCAAGAGAACAAACTATTTTCAAGTATTGCAATAGCTCCATTTGCATAAAAATAATTAGGTGCTGATTAAAAATGAATCTTCTTTATTCATTAAATCAAGGGTGCATTGTAAGAATTTAGGATTACTATTGCCATATTTCTATATTATAATATAACTACATTTCTTTTAAATATCCCGTAATTCTGAATATTCACTAATTTACACAGACAACCCTCCAGGTCATCCAAAATGGAAGCTGAATCATAACAGGTGGACTACGTTTTGTAAAACTGATTTGACACTAAGAAAACTTACTGATTGAAATGACTGAACTCTGCTCTTTCAAGATATTCCTTTTAATTTTTTTGGCAAAGCTAGATATACTTTTTGATTTGGAATAATATATCTCAATGAATTCATTAATAAGGTCATATAGTTCATTTGTATTCTGATTCTAGGTATAAATTTTCACTTTTTAGATTTTCTTAAGTTATAATTATGCTTATAATTTGTTTTGGCATCTCTTATGACTATCAAACTGATGATTTAAAATACTTATTCCCAATGTAAGTGACATGATTTACTCACACTACATTATGAAATAATTTTTTCATTCAAAATTAAACTTCAGTTGTCCTTCTCTTTCTCTCCTTTTCTAATCCAACAAATCAGATCTATTTTTATATTTGTTTATATTTTTTAATCAACTACACATCCCTTTAAATCTGTTTATTGCTTTAGAATTTGAAGGTTCAAAAAAGAGAAGGGCCTATTAAGAAACTGTACAGAAGTTAGTACATATTTCTGGACACTTTCAAACATGTATTTCCTTAAGTCAACCTCTGAGTGTGATCTTTTAATAAAACTCATGAGTCTCCCGGAAATGATAGGTTAGAATAGAAATTATTTTAACTTCTGCTTTCTTATATGGATTAAAAACTTGTGCATAATCGAATTCATAGATTCTAATATAACAAAATTATCCTGAAATTTCACTAATAAAGGGGGAAAACTGTGAAGGATTTTAAGCTCTCATGATGTTCATCACTCTTGAATAACAGATGCTCATAGATTTCCGGTTTTATGTATTTACTTATTTATTTTTTTTGAGATGGAGTCTCTCTCTGTTGCCCAGGCTGCAGTGCAGTGGCGCCATCTTGGCTCACTACAACCTCCGCTTCCCGGGTTCATGCCATTCTCCTGCCTCAGCCTCCCGAGTAGCTGGGACTACAGGTGCCCGCCACCATGCCTGGCTAATTTTTTGTATTTTTTAGTAGAGATGGCGTTTCACCGTGTTAGCCAAGATGGTCTCGATCTCCTGACCTCATCATCTGCCCGCCTCGGCCTCCCAAAGTGCTGAGATTACAGGCGTGAGCCACCGCGCCCAGCCCGATTTCTGGTTTTATTTTAAAGTTCTATTTCAAAGGTCTAAATCTCAAAGAAAGTCTATCTTAAAATTGAATTAGGCAACTCATAAAAACTTCCATGACATTCATATCACATCTTCAGAGCTGTGGCCCACAGCTGGTTAGGCAGGGGGAAGGGAAATGAAAGCAGACAGCTTTGGTGAAAGAAAGAGGTTTAGGGCCCCACTGGATCATCTCTTATATGGGACTACAAGAACTCCCTGGGTCTAGGTCACTTAGCGTGTTAGGGTCTACTGTGAAAAGACTTTGAGAACATCTCTCTAATTTTGAACTATGACAACTAAGTTTCCAAAAGGGAGAACCTAAACCTTAGACCCCAAATGGCTTTACAAAATCATTTGAGCTGTGAATAATCTCATAGCATAATGGTGAATCCCTAGGTTTAGTCTAACTTCGATCAAGATTCTGTATTTGGGCCAAAATTCAAACTGTTTATGAGTGGTGTTTATTCACTTTGTTTTTCTATTCATTGTTTGTTATAATATGCACATTTCTTACCCTCATAAAGATGTAAGCAAGGACAAAATTCAAAAGCAAGAAAAGAATTCTTCAAAGTTAATAGAATATATCCCTGTCTTTACTGAGTTCCAGAAAATGCTTCAGGATTCACCCCAAGTCAAGCTGCTGATTTTTTTGTTTTGTTTTGGTTAGAAAATTTCAATCTTAAATAAAAATGGATCTTTAAGTTTTGGGAAAATATTCTGAAGTTTCTCTAAATCAAACAAATATTTGAACTGTGACGTGTGTAAGATTTTAAAAAATACTATATTCAAAGAAGAATGGACCAAAGCATAATTTAAAATGAATTCAAGGAACGCAACAAAAAATAAAAGTCCTCGAGACCTAAAATTCCTCCATAATCAATCAGAATTTTCTACATTGTAGTTAAATGACATTTTAGCAACTTCAGAAAAGAGAAAGACAGTAAGCAATACTATGAAATGGATAAAAAAAGAAGAAAACAAGATTACAGATCAAGTCAGATACAGTTCTTACAGAGAAGAAAATATTTATAATTTATCCCTCAAGATTTAGAAAACATTTTTCATTTCTAGAAGTTAAATACTAATAGAGAAAATATCAACATATCATTTAAAACTTGCTGCTATAGGCCGGGCGCGGTGGCTCACGCCTGTAATCCCAGCACTTTGGGAGGCCGAGGCGAACGGATCACGAGGTCAGGAGATGGAGACCATCCTGGCTAACACGGTGAAACCCCGTCTCCACTAAAAATACAAAAAATTAGCCGGGCGTGGTGGCGGGCACCTGTAGTCCCAGCTACTCAGGAGGCTGAGGCAGGAGAATGGCGTGAACCCGGGAGGCGGAGCTTGCAGTGAGCGGAGATTGCGCCGCTGCATTCCAGCCTGGGCGACAGAGTGAGACTCCGTCTCAAAAAACAAAAACAAAAACAAACAACCAAAAGAACTTGCTGCTATAAAATTAAATTGTTAAAAAGTTTATGCCCTGTGCTTAGCAGTAGGTAGGTTGACATCAATGAAAGAAGTATGCTGAATAATCGCTGAGAGCTGGAGAACTCAGTAGTGGCACAACCAAGGAAGAGGCTGCAATGAAACAAAGCAGGTCATCTGCCAGTACAAGAGACACAAAAAAAATGTTAGTGTAGGGCCGGATGTGGTGGCTCACGCCTGTAATCCCAGCACTTTGGGAGGCCGAGGTGGGCGGATCACCTGAGGTCAGGAGTACAAGACCAGCCTGGCCAACACGGTGAAACACTGTCTCTACTAAAAATACAAAAATTAGCCAGGTGTGAGGGCAGAACCCTCATGATCCAATCACCTCTAAAGGCTCCACCTCTCAACACTGCCAAATTGGCAATTAAGTTTTACATGAGTTTTGAAGGGGGTTATATTCAAACCATAGCAGTGGGCCACTGTGACCTCAAGAGCCTCCTCAACATGTCTGCCCTCTGTGATCCCAAGCCCACCCAGACCCTCCTCCCAGCACCACTCAGAGCAGACAGGAAGGCCAGAAGACCTAGAGTCGGTGGGGGTGGGGAAGGTGGGGAGGTGACCTGGGGGAGGGGCTGCTCAAGGGTGATGCACACCTGGACAGGTGGCCCATGCCC
The DNA here is from genome assembly GCF_000001405.40 of Homo sapiens. NCBI lineage: Eukaryota > Metazoa > Chordata > Mammalia > Primates > Hominidae > Homo > Homo sapiens. The sequence goes on from NC_000022.11 coordinate 32,279,971, forward strand.
TGCGACCAAGTGCCCAATTGCCTTACTCCAGTTTTTTGTTGTTGTTGTTTGTTTGTTTGTTTTGAGACATAGTCTCACTGTGTTGCCCAGGCTGGAGTGCAATGGCACGATCTCTGCTCACTGCAACCTTCACCTCCCAGGTTCAAGTAATTCTCGTGCCTCAGCCTCTGGAGTAGCTGGGATTACAGGCATGCATCACCATGCCTGGCTAATTTGTGTGTTTTTAGTAGAGACAGGGTTTCCCCATATTGGCCAGGCTGGTCTTGAACTCCTGACCCCAAGTGATCCACCCCCCCTCAACCTCCCAAAGTGTTGGGATTACAGGCGTGAGCCACCGTGCCCAGCCCTCCAGTTTTTGATCCTGGGACTGACTCTTCCCCAGTGAGAATGTCAAGGGTGCCTGCCCACCTCTGGGAATTCCCGTCCCTCTGTTCAGAATGCTGCCCTCACTTGGACCCACACATAGAGCTCCTTCCTGTCACCCAGCTCTCAACTTAGTCGACACTGCTCAATGTCAACTAATGCAAAAAGCCCCCTCACCCTCTCCTGTGGCCTTGTGTCCTCTGCACTGCTAAGCACGAGCTGGACTCTCCTCCCTCCCTCTCTTCCCTATGCTGCTGTGTATAGGTTCCTGTTTGTCTCTCCACTGAGGGCAGGGACTCTGAAGGACCAGTTCATGGCATCCCATGTCTAGAAAACTGCTCAACACATTACAGGAATTCAAGAAAGAAGTTTGTCAAATGAAGGAACTTTCTAACATTCTGAACCAACTAACGACGGGCATGGACCACTTGGTGGTAGTGAGCTCCCTGCCATTGGTGGTATTTAAGCAGTAGTTGGATGACACTCGGAGGGTGCATTAGAGAGACAAACTCAGGAGGTACGGTTCAAGCTTAGGGCAAACACAGATCCTTCCCAGGGTCTCTGACCATTCAGGGTCCCCTTCTCTGCTACCATCTTGCCCTGAGACCCTGGGGGACGCCTTTCTTCTGAGCCCCAGTCTCTCAACAGTTCTAGAAAACAAAAGGTGGCAGCATCTATTTGGCTGAGCCACCCAGAAGGAAAAGGCTGTGGAAGGAAAGACCAATATTTATTCATTATCATATTCCGAAATTAGACTGGGGAGCCACAAATAGACATTTCTAACAAGAGCCCGTCTGTCCCTGCCTCTCAGGCTCATCCTGCACACTCCTCATTCATGTCACGTCTTGCTGCCTCCCGCACTGGGGGTTTGGCTTGAATATTTGCCAGCCACTCGGTTATTTTCTGGGGTGATTCATGGGAAGGTGGGACGTCCAGCTGCGGTTGGAATGTTCTTTTAAAACAGCATGTGCTGCTCCCAACGGGGCCGCATCTGAGCAAGGCACAGGGCTGCTCTCCTCTGGGGTTGGGCGTGCAGGGGTGGGGAGGAGCCAAAGCATGTGCCACTGACTGGAAGGGGCCCCATCAAAGCCCGGGCTTCACCAGGGAGCAGTCTGTCTGTTTTGTGCACTGCCACAGGTGCTCCACTCCTAGCACCAGCATTCATGCACCCATTGTTTCTCCATCTTTATTTTATTTTATTTTATTATTTTTTGAGATGGGGTCTCACTTTGTTGCCCAGGCTGGAGTGCAGTGGTCCAATCACAGCTCACTGCTGCCTGGAATTCCTGGGACTACAGGCATGTAACACCACACCAGGCTAATTTTTACAATTTTTGTAGAAACAGGGGTCTCATTATGTTGCCCAGACTTGTCTTAAACTCCTGGTCTCAAGCAATCCTTCCCGCCTCAGCCTCCTGAAGTTCTAGTATTACAGGTGAGAGCCACTGTACCCTGATTGTTCCTCCATCTTCAAAAGCAGTCTTGATCTCTACTCCTGCCCTCCGCTTTCATGTTTGTTTGTTTGTTTTTAATGGAGTCTCGCTCTGTAGCCCAGGCTGGAGCGCAGTGGCACGATCTTGGCTCACTGCAACCTCAGCCTCCTGGGTTCAAGCGATTCTCCTGCCTCAGCCTCCCGAGTAGCTGGAATTACAGGCATGTGCCACCACGCCTGGCTATTTTTGTATTTTTAGTAGAGACGGCGTTTCACCATGTTGTCCAGGCTGGTCTCAAACTCCTGACCTCAGGTGATCTGCCCGCCTCAGCCTCCCAAAGTGCTGGGATTACAGGTGTGAGCCACGGCGCTCGGCCACTTCCGTGTTTCTTTCCCCCTCTGGATAGCAAAGCTCTTTGTAGGAGCGAAACTCCTCTCCGTCTTTCTTGAACACCCCCCTCCAGCACACTCTTGACCTCATGGATTCCCTGAGGCTTAATGAAGTCAGCAGTGACCCCCAACCCAAAACCCAGGGTCGGCTGGCAGACATCGGCTGTCTGAGCCACCCACTGAGTCTGACTCTGCTGGCTAGTCTCTCTCTCCTTGCTGGCCTCTCCTCACCTGGCTGCCAGGACTCTGCTGCTCTCAGCCTCGCTCCCACCTTCTGGTAGTTCCTCCTCACTCCCTTGCTGGCTCTTTTTTGTGAACTTGACCTTGAACATGTTGGCACATTCTGGAGCTCAGTCCTTACTGTACCTTGTTTTATTACCCTCTCATTCCCTTACTGATCTCATCCTGCCTTGGGCTTTTAAATGCCCTCCAGATTCCAATGACTCCCATGTACGCCTCCAGCCTGGACCTCTGTCCTGACTCCTGACCTCCAACCAGGTTTTCAACGTGGATGTCAAAGATACCTCTGCTCACATCCAACACGTCCAACACTGAACTCCTCATCTCCTCCCACCTCCCTGTCTGGGTTGGTGGCTGCCCTGTCTTCCCCATGGCTTGGGCCAGGAGCCTGTGTTTGTTCATGGTTCCTTTTTCTCCTGCACCCTACATCCAATCTGTCAGGAAATTGTCGTTCCATTGCCCCAGCGCATCCGGGATCTGATGGCTTCTCTCCACCCGGCCCCGTTTCCATCCTAGTGCAAGCCACCTTCATCCTCGCCTCTGCAGTCTGCTCTCAGCACTGCAGTCAGAAGAAGCCTTTACAACGGTAAGCCAGATTATGCTGCTCCTCTGCTCAAACCTTGCCGAGCCTCCTCCTTTTCACCTGAAATGCAAGCCAGCGTCCCTCCTGGATTCTGCAAAGCCCCAGATAATTTGACTGGCTCCCTGCACCTTCTCTAACATCCCCTCCTATTGCTCCTTCTGCATTCTGCAACCCCTTCACTTTCTCCTGTTCACTGGGCTCTCAGCCACACTGCCCTCTTTCCCATTCCTCCAACCTGCCAGGCACACACCTGCCCCAGGGCCTTTGCACTTGCAGTTCCTTCTGCTCAGATGCTCTTGTCTCAGATATTCGCTGGGCTCACACCCTCACCTCCTTTACCTCTGTGCTTACCTTCTCCATGCAACCCCTCTCAACCAACTTATTTAATAATTCAAACTCCTCACCTGTCCCTGCTTCACAATGCAACAGCTACAGACGTGACACACTTTAAAGTTGAATTTGCACCATTAACATTTTCTCCATCACTTGCTTAAGTCTAGACAATCAACAAAACAATCAATCAGGCCCTGATGTGCATTGTTTGCCAATTCCCATGGTATATATAGTTCCACCAAGGCCAATTTTAAACTACCTATTTGACACCCCTGAACACAGTCTTGGAGAGAGATGCACAGAAGTTCACCATTACATAGTATTTTGTAATAAATGTAAGTCACCCTAGGAGCATCAATAATAGTAAAATGAGGTAAGATAATTAGGACTTGATTACTCTGAGTATGCATTACCTTTGTTTTTAATAACATGTACTTAATTGGAAGTTTGTGTAATTTAATTTTTTTTATTGGCTGCATTTAACAGCTAACTCACAAAATTCCTAAAAATTAACAGTAGACTTTCACCAGCCAGTATATGCTGGCTCCAGCACACCCCTGAGAATGGTTGATTAATATGGAATGGCCATGCTGTGTAATTTTATGCAACTATTTAAAAGAATGAATTGGAGCTCTATAGGGGATTTGGAGGAATTTTTACAAAGAATTGTCAAATAAGAAAGCAAAATATAGAACCACAGAATCATTTTTATAACACAATGATCCCCCCTCAATAAAACCCTCTCTATATGTGTCTGTACACATTAATAAATAATTGCATAAGTATCCAGAATCAACTTGATTTGGGGGCATAGGATGTGATGTGTGGGAGGGAGAAAAGGAAGCCAAGCAAAATAGGAAAACAGAACCAAAAAGACTGCCAGGAAAGCAAACTATACAGATGGTAACACGTTTTGGCATTTAAGCATAATATGTGTATGTATTTGTTCATATCATTAAAATAGATTTTTAAACCAAGTCCTCATTTGGACAGTTGTTCAGGTTATCTATTGCCATATAACAAACCACCCTAAAACTTAGTAGTTCGAATTGCCAATAACCATTCATTATGACAAGCCTGTGGGTTGCACATGTGGTGTATCTGCTTCACATGGTGTTGGGATACTGGGATGGCTGCAGGGTTCAACATTACCTCCCTCACATGGCTGGGGGTTGATGCTGGCTGCAAGCTGGGAGCTCAGCTGGGCCTATCAGGAGGGGACCTGAACTCTCCTTTATGTTGACCTCTCCACGTGGCTACTTGGCCTTCCTCACAGTATGGTGACTGAGTTCTAAGAAGAAGCACTCCAAGAGGCAAAGGCTGGAGCTGCGTCATTTCCACCATATTCTATTGATCACAATGATGACAGGGTCAGCTCAGATTCACGGGGAGGAGATACAACATTCACCTTTCGATGAAAGTGGCAAGATAATATCACAACAGTGCATGTGGTAAGGGAAATATTGTGGTAATTGTCTTTGGAAACACAAAAGACCACAATGATCCAAGCCCTTGATCATGTGGCCATGAAATCTTCACTTCTGTGGGGTGAGGATCCAGCAAAATCCTCAGTGACAACCCCCAGGAGGGTTTTCTTCCAGGTTGACTAAGTTGTCTGTGGGTAACATTTTGTTATATTTGTGTATTGGTTGCAACTATCAATTGGCTGCAGATACAAGACTTTGGCAAAAATCAAAAAAGCATTTTGTGAGAATCAGTTGAATATATACATTTTATAAAACAGTATCATATATTTTATGATTATTTGTAAACTTTGTGCCACAAATCTTTTAGTGTTAATAAATTTTATAATAAAAGTAGATGTGTGTGTATATATGATATATATATGCGTATATACGATATATGTGTGTATATGCATTTTTCCCCTGTAGCACACCTCTAAGTCTTCCTCTATTGATAAGCATCATTTTGTTTCTATTCTACCATGGAATTCCATTTTACTCATGCTGGGTTCAAAGTGTATGTGCATTTTTAATTTTAATAGATATTTTCAGATTGCTTTCAACAGAAGGTATAGTTCTCATTTCTAGCAGCAGTGCATAAGAGTACCCTTTTCTCACACAGCTGCCAACAATAGATTTATAGATTTATTTTTTGCTGTCAATTTGTGCATGTTCTCTGTATCTTAAATTTCAGCCTTACAAGTGGCTATGCATTCCAAATCTCAATTATATATTGACTTTACATCATCTTTTGTCATACAAAAATTAATTTTTGCATTACCAAATGTTTATCATTTCTTCTATAGTTTCCGGGTATCTGGTCTTGGTTAGGAACCTGTCCCTTTGTTGAGAGTGTTGATATAACCCTTCAGAATTTCTTGCTGAATTTTTATTGTTCTATTTAAGCCTTTAATATAAATCTTATTTTCTTTTTTTATTTTTATTTTATTTTATTTTTTATTTTTATTTTTATTTTTTTTGAGATGGAGTCTCACTCTGTCGCCCAGGCTGGAGTGCAGCGGCGCGATCTCGGCTCACTGCAAGCTCCGCCTCCCGGGTTCACGCCATTCTCCTGCCTCAGCCTCCTGAGTAGCTGGGACTACAGGCGCCCGCTACCACGCCCGGCTTATTTTTTGTATTTTTAGTAGAGACGGGGTTTCACCGTGTTAGCCAGGATGGTTTCGATATCCTGACCTCATGATCTGCCTGCCTCGGCCTCCCAAAGTGCTGTGATTACAGGCGTGAGCCACCGCTCCCAGGCCTTATTTTCATATATGGCTAAAACAGGAGTCCAATTTTATTTTTTTTACTGGCTAGGTAGCCTGTTATGCCAGTTAAATATTTGTGGTTTAGTGAAAACCAAAATAATTATGTATTAAATAATAATTCCCCACTGTATTGAAATGCTACTTTTGTTGTATTAAATTATTACATATACTCACATATATTTTATATTCTAATCTGTCACTCTTATGCCAATGACATATTGATTTGGTCATAGTGTTTTTGTAGTATGTTTTAATTTGTGGGGTTTTAGGAAGGCAGTGTACAACGCTATTTCTGGAATGAGGTCATGAGGAGTGCCTCCTTTATTCTGTTTCCCTTTCCATGACATTCACTGCAGGGAGGCTCTGTGTTGAGATTGTGGAGACACAAGATGAAAGTAGTTGGATCCCTGCATCACTTTATGGAGGAAAGTTTCTTGCCTGGAGCTTTGCCTGATTGCATCATCTTTGTATGAGCGATAAACAACCCTTTGTTTTTTACCTCAGCATAGCCTATCCTGTCCCGACTAATCATTGGTGCTGCTGTATCAAAAAGCCAAAATATACAGCATTAGCTTAGTGGCTGGTGATGTGTGCCAAGGACACTGATACTGGAGGCTGGGGCATGGCAGTCTGTACTATTAATGGTAACACACTTGTTAAATGGCATACTTGCATTAAGAAGGCTAAGAAAGAAGGCTATTGTAAGCATATCTTGGCTGTTGTCTTCATTCAACAAAGCCTTACAAGAAATAAGTGGCTAGTTTGTGAGCAGCAATAAAGGAAATAGAGAAATTCCAGAAAGTTAGGGCTTAGCAAAATTAAAAAGCTGTCTGCTTCCAGATGCCAACTAACTTGATACAGGATTGACAACACCATTGAGCAACAAAGGCCCAAATTACCTCAGGGCAAAAGGCAGATTAAAAAGATCCAGATAGACTCAAGGTAAGTGCCATGATATTGTGTGTGAGAGAGACGGGGGAGCAAAGAAGGTAAATAAGTTGAGATCTACATCTGAAAAATAACTTTTGGGGGAGTTACGGTACAGGGAACTCTTTGGAAACAAATTAAAAGCAGACTAAGTTTTTAAGGACATTGTATTACAAAAGAAACCCACAGTTTGAACTAAAAAAGGCTCGGACTATTCATGACTTAAAACAAGCTATGGCTCCCTAATTTTCCATGGGCCAACAGCAGCTGAGTTTCACAGTCCAAACACAGCATATTCTTCCACGTCCATTTCAGATGTGGCCAAGGAGAGTGATGGAATGACAAAAGGGCCAGGGAGAACAAGGAACAAGGGACTTCTTCCTAGAGAAGCTTAATGAAGAAACCTTCTCTAACGAGGGTATGAGCTTTCACAATGTCTACTCAGAAGGATTTCAGAATTGTTACCCCTACCTGTCTTCATTCTCTCCGTTTAAAAGTGTTTATTGCAGTTGTCCTAACCCTACTTCATCATTGAATATCGGGTCTATATAGGAGGCAAGTAATATGTCTCTTCTAGTTTATAACTCTCCAGACCAAGAAGAAGCAGGTGTAGACCTGATGGAGGGCACTAGGCAGTTCACTTGAAGACCCTCAATTTCTTTTTGTTTCTTTCTTTTTTCTTTTTCTTTTTTTTTCTTTAGAGATGGGGTTTCATAATATTGGTCAGACTGGTCTCAAACTCCTGACATCAGGTGATCCACCTGCCTCAGTCTCCCAAAGTTGTTGGGATTACAGACATAAGCCACTGTGCAGAGCCTAAGAATATTTCAAAATTGTTACCCCTATCTGTCTTCATTCTCTCCATTTAAAAGTGAAAGTATTTATTGCAGTTGTCCTAACCCTACTCCATCATTAAATATTGGGTCTGTATAGGAGGAAAGGAATATGTCTCTTCTAGTTTAGAAATCTCCAGACCAAGAAGAAGCAGGTATAGACCTGATGGAGAGCACTAGGCAGTTCACTTGAAGACCCTCAATTTCTTTCTTTCTTTTTTTTTTTTTTTAGAGATGAGGTTTCACCATATTGGTCAGGCTGGTCTCAAATTCCTGACCTCAGGTGATCCACCTGCCTTGGTCTCCCAAAGTGTTGGGATTACAGACATGAGCCACGGTGCCTAGCTTAAGAAGACCCTCAATTTCAAGCTGGATTTGCTGACAATTTCAAGTGAGGTTTTCTCTCTTGAGAAAGTGAGAGTATGTTCTACATATGGGAAAAACAATGACCAGAGGGGCGCACAGGAAGATTACACTTCCTACTACCTGGTAGTTAGGTGGGGCCATGTGACTAGTTCTAGCAAATGAAATGTGAGTGGAAATGCCATGTACCACTTCTGGGCCAAAGTTTAAAAGTTGATGTGTTTCCCTAACACTCTGTCTTTCATCATGGTGACCTTGGAGGCCACCAGTGAGGTGATGGTGGACAGGATGAAGGATGCCTAGAACTAAAGGAGTTTTCACCAACCCACATTAGATTTTGCATGAATGAGATAACATATTGCTTTCTCTGTCTCTTTTGTTTTTTTCTTTTTTTTGTTTTTGTTTTTGAGTTGGAGCTTCGCTATTGTTCCCCAGGCTGAAGTGCAATGTGCCTCACCACAACTTCTGCCTCCCGGGTTCAAGTGATTCTCCTGCCTCAGCCACCCGAGTAGCTGGGATTACAGGCATGCACCACCACGCCTGGATAATTTTTTATTTTTAGTAGAGACAGGGTTTCTCCTTGTTGGTCAGGTTGGTCTCGAACTCATGACCTCAGGTGATCCGACCGCCTCAGCCTCCCAAACTGCTGGGATTACATATTTCTTAATGTTTAGCTACTGGGAATAATTTATGTTAGATTATTTTAGGTTTTCTACCTATATGATCATATCATCTGTGAAAGGTGATGTTTGAAAATTTCTTCCTTTTTGATCCTTATACCTTTTTTTTCTTGTTTGTGTCTTGCTGTACTGCCTGGGACTTCATAGTCAATGCTGGGTAGCAGTGATGACAGCTGGGACCATGGGCTTGCTTCTTACAGGAAAGGAAAGCTTTCCGTATTTCAAGTATTGAGACAAGTAAGATTTTTCTGTAATTTTTTGTGGCTATCTAGTGTCTCTTAAAAGAAAGTTCCCTTGGACTCCTAGCTTGCCTAGCTGTTTTTATCTTGAATGGCTGTTGAACTTTACATTTTTTTGTATCTCTTGAAATGATCATATATTTTTCTATTAAAGAAAAAATGTTAATTCTCCTAATTATATTTATTGTTTTCTGATGTCAAAGCAACCTGATTGATATGGTTTGGCTCTGTGTCCTCACCCAAATCTCACCTTGAACTGTAATAATTATCAGGTGTCAAGGGTGGGACCAGGTGGAGATAATTGAATCATGGGGGTGGTTTCTCCATGCTGTTCTCGTGAGAGTGAGTGAGTTCTCAGGAGATCTGATGGTTTTATAAGGGGCTGCCGCCATCACGCTCCTCTCCTTTCTGGTTTCATTTGAGACGGAGTTTCGCTCTTGTTGCTGGAGTGCAGTGCAGCTCACTGCAACCTCTGCCTCCCGGTTCAAGCGATTCTGCCTCAGCTTCCTGAGTAGCTGGGATTACAGGCGTGTGCCACCATGTGCCACCTTGTGAAGAGGTGCCTTCTGCCATGATTGTAAGTTTCCTGAGGCCTCCCCAGCCATGCGGAACTGTGAGTCATTAAACCTCTTTTCTTTATAAGTTACCCAGTCTTAAGTATGTCTTATAGTAGTGTGAGAATGGACTAATGCACTGACATTCCTGTTCATATACCTGATTAGGTCATGCTGATTCTGTCTTATTGTCTTTTAATTGGTATTTTTGCATCTAGGCTGATGAGTGAGACTTACTTTGTCAGGTTTTAGTATCAGGGTAATTCTAGTCTCAAAAATGAATTGAGGCCATTTTATGCTCTTTAATATTCATTTTCTATTGCTTTTCTATTCTCTGGAAGAGCTTGTGTATGATTGGCGTGGTTTCTAGAAGAGCTTATGATTGGCATGATCTCTTCCTTAAATGTTTGGTTGAATTTGTAGGGCCTGGGTTTTTCTTTTTTTCTTTTTACTTTTATTTTACTTTAAGTTCTGGGATGCATGTACAGAATGTGCAGGTTTGTGACATAAGTACACATGTGCCGTGGTGGTTTGCTGCACCTATCAACCCGTCATCTAGGTTTTAAGCCCTGCATGCATTAGGTGTTTGTCCTAATGCTCTCCCTCCCCTTGCCCCCATCCCCTGACAGGCCCCGGTGTGTGATGTTCCCCTCCCTGTGTCCATGTGTTCTCACTGTTCAACTCCCATTTATGAGGACATGTGGTGTTTTCTCTTCCTGTGTTAGTTTGTTTGCTGAGAACGATGGTTTCCAGCTTCATCCTTGTCCCTGGGGTTTTCTTAGTGGGAAAGATTTGGTTATGGATTCAATTGATTTTATTACTACAGGACTCTTTAAATTTCTATTTTTCTAATATCAGCTTTGAAAACTTGTACTTTTTATTTTATATTTTCAAATGCTTTGGATATGATTTTTTCATAACAATTTCCTTTTTAGTCCTTTTGGGTTGCTGTGACAAAATACCTCAGACTCGGTAACTTACAAACAATAGAAATTTATTTCTCACAGTTCTGAATACTGGGAAGTCCAAGATCAGGGAACTGGCAGATGTGGGGTGTGCAGAAGACTCGCTCTCTGCCTCCAAGATCGCAGCTTGTTGCTGTGTCCTCTGAGGATGAATGCTGTGTCTTCACATGATAGAAGAGATGGAAAGGCAAAAAGGCCCAGAAAGTCCCCTCCAGCCCTTTTATAATGTCACTAATCCCATTCATGAGGGTTCCATCCTCAGGACTTAATCGCTTCCTAAGGGCCCCAACTCTTAATACTATCACATTGGGTCTTAGGTTTCAAAATATTAATTTTGGGGGAAAACATACATTTGAACCATTTCAGCCTCTTTTTTATGCTTGCTGGATGTGTAGTGGTGTCTTCTTTTTAATTTCTGATATTGGAATTTGTCTTCTTTCATTTTCATCATATGAGTTTTGCCAGGGATTTATCAATTTTATTTTTTTAAAGAGCTAGCATTTGGCTTTGCTGATCCTCTCTGTGTTATGTTTATTTTCTTTTTCTTTAGTTGTGTATTTATCTTCATTGTTCTCTTTTTATATACTTTGTGTTTGACTGTTCTTTTTTTTTTTTTTTGAGATGGAGTCTTTCTCTGTTACCCAGGCTGCCACCCTCCGCCTCCCGGGTTCAAGCGATTCTCTTGCCTCAGCCTCCCGAGTAGCTGGGATTACAGGCGTGCGCCACCATGCCTGGCCAATTTTTTGTATTTTTATAGTAGAGACGGGGTTTCACCGTATTGGTCAGGCTGGTCTTGAACTCCTGACCTCGTGATCCACCCACCTTGGCCTCCCAAAGTGCTGGGATTACAGGCGTGAGGCACTGCGCCGGGGTCAACTGTTCTATTTTTAATTTGTGAGAAGTATGGCTGACATTAGTTTTCAGTCAAACTTGTGTATCAACTTGGGGAAAATTGACACATTTACTGTGTTGTCTTCCAACTCATGAACATGGTACGTCTCTTCATTAATTTAGATGTTCTTTGATTTCTTTACCAAGATAGGCTCTTAAGCTTGAATTTTCTTTTAAGCACTTATTTATCTGAATCACCTAAGTTTTAATATGTAACAATTCCCTTATACTCAAATGTATTCTACTTTTCATTATGATTTATTCCTTGACCTTAGCCTATTTATATTTCTTGTTTTCCCAATGTATGGAAATTTTTATATTTTATATATATGTGTGTGTGTATATATATGTATGTATATATATAATTTATTTTTCTTTTCTATCTTTTTTTTTTTGGAGATGGAGTCTCATTCTGTCACTCAGGCTGGAGTGCAATGGCACAATCTTGGCTCACTGCAACCTTTGCCTCCCGGGTTCAAGTGATTCTCGTGCCTCAGTCTCCTGAGAAGCTGAGATTACAGGTGTGCACCACTACGCCCGGCTATTTTTTTATATTTTTAGTAGAGACGGGGTTTTAGTATATATATATAACATATATACTAGATATTATATATAATATATAATACATATACTAGATATTATATATTATATTCTATATATTATATATATAATATATACTAGATATTATATATAATACATACTAGATATTATATAATATATATATTATATTCTATATATTATATATATAATATATACTAGATATTATATATAATACATACTAGATATTATATATAATATATACTAGATATTATATATATTTTTCTAATATATATGGTATATGGAACTATAGGAATTTTCTAATCTGTACACACATATTTTCTAATATGTACATACTAGATATATATTTGTTTTTTTCTAGTGTATGTGTGTGTGTGTATATGCTAGAAAATCCCCATATGTTTGGAAAACAGCATTCATCCCCAGAGAACACAGCAACAGGGTGCTATCTTAGAGGCAGAGAGTGAGTCTTCCCCAGACCCCACATCTGCCAGTGCCTTGATCTTGGACTTCCCAGACTTCAGGACTGTGAGAAATATGGTAGAAAATTCCTATATATATATATTTTATAGAATTCTATCTTAATGGCATTGTGGTCAAATAAAGTCCTCTGAAGTTCACTGATACTTGCTTAATTATACAGTATAACATAACTTTTTGTAAAAGTTCTGTGTCTGTATGAGGAAAATGTGTATTGGTATGTGTTGAATGCATTGTTCTAGATATCTCCACTAGGTAGATTTCTTAATCACATTCAGTTCTTCATATTCTTACTTATTTTTCATCTGATTGTTTGACCTGTTGTAGAGAGAGGTAGGTTAAAATTTCCCAGTATAATTGTGATTTTGTCTACTTCTTATAGTTCTATCAGTTTTGCTATACATATTTTGAGGTTATGTGTCAGTAGGTGCCTACCAATTTAAGATAGTGACATTTTCTTGTAGAATTGGCTTTTATCATTATGAAATGTTATTCTTTATCTTTGCTAATACTTCTCATCTTTAAGTATACTTTAATATTATTACAGATACACCAGTTTTTCTGTTTATTGTTTGAGTTAGTGCTTGCACAGCATGTCTTTTCCCATCCTTTTACTTGCACTTATTTTCTGTGACCTAATGTTGTAAATGTCTTTTATAAATAACATATAGTTGGTGTTTTTGGTTTTTAAAAAATCCTATCTGGTAGTCTTTGTGTTTTAAATGGTGCATTTCATTCACCTATATTTGATGTAATTACTAAAATATTTGGTTTTAAATGTTTTAATGATGTGGTTTTTTTGGTCCCACCTGTTTTATATTCTTCTTTCTTCTCAATTTTTGTTTTCTTCTTTTGGATAAGTGCATTTTGTCATTCCATGTTTTCCTTAATATTACCTTGGAAGTTACATTTTCTTTTACTGTTATTGCAACTGTTACCCTAGAGATTACAAAATGCATCCGTAACATAATATTGTAAATATTGTTTGGTATTCCTGGACAATCCAAGGACCTAACAATAGTTTAACTTAATTTATACCCCTCCTGTGTTCTCTGCAGTTGTTATGTATTTTATTTCTGTATATTTTAAAACCCATGAGACATTATTACAGCCATCAAATCAGCCATTCTTTATTTAGATTTGCCCCAGATATAACCTTCCTGTTGCTCTTTATTCCTTTCTGTATCATCAACCTCTGCCTAGGATCATTTGTTTTACTGTCTAAAGAAGACACTTTGGTATATTTTTTAAAGTTGGGGCCCATTAGTTATTAGTTATATATTTTAAAAATTTTAATCTTTTCTAAGAAGTCTTATTTTACCTTCACTCTTGAAAGATATTTTTGCTAGGTTTAGAATTCAAACATATATACTGTTTGATATAGTAGTATAAAATAATATTATATTGTCTTCTAGTTTCCAGTACTTTTACTGTAGTTTGTAAGTCTAATTGTGCTTCCTTGAAGTTAATCTCCACCCCCACCCCAGCCCTTTTCTGACTGCTTTTAAGGTTTTCTCTTTGTCTTCTACTTCAGTTTAGTAGAGCTTCTTGAATTTGTGGCTTGATGTCTTTCAGTAGTTGCAGAAAATTCTTAGCCTTTTATCTCTTCAAATAGTATTTCTCCTCCAATCCCTTTCACATTGCCTACTGGAACAATTGTATTTGTTACATATCTCCTATGACTGCTAAGTACTTTTCTGTGTTTTTCATCCTTTTATCCCCTGCTCTTCATTCTGGATGTTTTCTTGTGACATATCTTCAGGTTGATTAATTATCTCTCCAGTTGTATCTAATCTGATTTTGTAAATTAAACCTTTTTATTCTGTGATAATTGCATATGCACATGCAATTGTGAGAAGTAGTACAGAGACATTCTTTTACTTGGTTTCCTTCAGCTGCAACATCTTGCAAAACTACATTACAATATCACAACTAGGATACTGACATCAAAACACTTGAAGATACAGGGCATTTCCATCACAAGGATCCCTCCTGTGGCTCTTTGAGAGCCACACCCACTTTCCTCCTGCCCCACCCCCTCCTTAATCCCTGACAATCATTAATATTAATATGGTACCCATTTTTATAATTGCATCATTTTAAGAGTATTATATAAATACAATGGTGGTTGGCTTTTTCTTTTTATTATACTTTAAGTTTTAGGGTACATGTGCACATTGTGCAGGTTAGTTACATATGTATACATGTGCCATGCTGGTGCGCTGCACCCACTAACTCATCATCTAGCATTAGGTATATCTCCTGATGCTATCCCTCCCCCCTCCCCCAACCCCACAACAGTCCCCAGAGTGTGATATTCCCCTTCCTGTGTCCATGTGGTCTCATTGTTCAATTCCCACCTATGAGTGAGAATATGCAGTGTTTGGTTTTTTGTTCTTGCGATAGTTTACTGAGAATGATGATTTCCAATTTCATCCATGTCCCTACAAAGGACATGAACTCATCATTTTTTATGGCTGCATAGTATTCCATGGTGTATATGTGCCACATTTTCTTAATCCAGTCTATCATTGTTGGACATTTGGGTTGGTTCCAAGTCTTTGCTATTGTGAATAATGCCACAATAAACATACATGTGCATGTATCTTTATAGCAGCATGATTTATAGTCCTTTGGGTATATACCCAGTAATGGGATGGCTGGGTCAAATGGTATTTCTAGTTCTAGATCCCTGAGGAATCGCCACACTGACTTCCACATTGGTTGAACTAGTTTACAGTCCCACCAACAGTGTAAAAGTGTTCCTATTTCTCCACATCCTCTCCAGCACCTGTTGTTTCCTGACTTTTTAATGATTGCCATTCTAACTGGTGTGAGATGGTATCTCATTGTGGTTTTGATTTGCATTTATCTGATGGCCAGTGATGATGAGCATTTTTTCATGTTTTTTGGCTGCATAAATGTCTTCTTTTGAGAAGTGTCTGTTCATGTCCTTCGCCCACTTTTTGATGGGGTTTTTTTCTTGTAAATTTGTTTGAGTTCATTGTAGATTCTGGATATTAGCCCTTTGTCAGATGAGTAGGTTGTGAAAATTTTCTCCCATTTTGTAGGTTGCCTGTTCACTCTGATGGTAGTTTCTTTTGCTGTGAAGAAGCTCTTTAGTTTAATTAGATCCCATTTGTCAATTTTGTCTTTTGTTGCCATTGCTTTCGGTGTTTTAGACATGAAGTCCTTGCCCATGCCTATGTCCTGAATGGTAATGCCTAGGTTTTCTTCTAGGGTTTTTATGGTTTTAGGTCTAACGTTTAAGTCTCTAATCCATCTTGAATTGATTTTTGTATAAGGTGTAAGGAAGGGATCCAGTTTCAGCTTTCTACATATGGCTAGCCAGTTTTCCCAGCACCATTTATTAAATAGGGAATCCTTTCCCCATTGCTTGTTTTTCTCAGGTTTGTCAAAGATCAGATAGTTGTAGATATGCGGCGTTATTTCTGAGGGCTCTGTTCTGTTCCATTGATCTATATCTCTGTTTTGGTACCAGTACCATGCTGTTTTGGTTACTGTAGCCTTGTAGTATAGTTTGAAGTCAGGTAGTGTGATGCCTCCAGCTTTGTTCTTTTGGCTTAGGATTGACTTGGTGATGCGGGCTCTTTTTTGGTTCCATATGAACTTTAAAGTAGTTTTTTCCAATTCTGTGAAGAAAGTCATTGGTAGCTTGATGGGGATGGCATTGAATCTGTAAATTACCTTGGGCAGTATGGCCATTTTCACGATATTGATTCTTCCTACCCATGAGCATGGAATGTTCTTTCATTTGTTTGTATCCTCTTTTATTTCCTTGAGCAGTGGTTTGTAGTTCTCCTTGAAGAGGTCCTTCACATCCCTTGTAAGTTGGATTCCTAGGTATTTTATTGTCTTTGAAGCAATTGTGAATGGGAGTTCACTCATGATTTGGCTCTCTGTCTGTTGTTGGTGTATAAGAATGCTTGTGATTTTTGTACATTGATTTTGTATCCTGAGACTTTGCTGAAGTTGCTTATCAGCTTAAGGAGATTTTGGGCTGAGACAATGGGGTTTTCTAGATATACAATCATGTCGTCTGCAAACAGGGACAATTTGACTTCCTCTTTTCCTAATTGAATACCCTTTATTTCCTTCTCCTGCCTAATTGCCCTGGCCAGAACTTCCAACACTATGTTGAATAGGAGTGGTGAGAGAGGGCATCCCTGTCTTGTGCCAGTTTTCAAAGGGAATGCTTCCAGTTTTTGCCCATTCAGTATGATATCGGCTGTGGGTTTGTCATAGATAGCTCTTATTATTTTGAAATACGTCCCATCAATACCTAATTTATTGAGAGTTTTTAGCATGAAGGGTTGTTGAATTTTGTCAAAGGCTTTTTCTGCATCTATTGAGATAATCATGTGGTTTTTGTCTTTGGCTCTGTTTATATGCTGGATTACATTTATTGATTTGCATATATTGAACCAGCCTTGCATCCCAGGGATGAAGCCCACTTGATCATGGTGGATAAGCTTTTTGATGTGCTGCTGGATTCGTTTTGCCAGTATTTTATCGAGGATTTTTGCATCAATGTTCATCAAGGATATTGGTCTAAAATTCTCTTTTTTTGTTGTGTCTCTGCCTGGCTTTGGTATCAGATGATGCTGGCCTCATAAAATGAGTTAGGGAGGATTCCCTCTTTTTCTATTGATTGGAATAGTTTCAGAAGGAATGGTACCAGTTCCTCCTTGTACCTCTGGTAGAATTTGGCTGTGAATCCATCTGGTCCTGGACTCTTTTTGGTTGGTAAGCTATTGATTATTGCCACAATTTCAGCTCCTGTTATTGGTCTATTCAGAGATTCAACTTCTTCCTGGTTTAGTCTTGGGAGAGTGTACGTGTCCAGGAATTTATCCATTTCTTCTAGATTTTCTAGTTTATTTGCATAGAGGTGTTTGTAGTATTCTCTGATGGTAGTTTGTATTTCTGTGGGATCGGTGGTGATATCCCCTTTATCATTTTTTATTGTGTCTATTTGATTCTTCTCTCTTTTTTTCTTTATTAGTCTTGCTAGCGGTCTATCAATTTTGTTGATCCTTTCAAAAAACCAACTCCTGGATTCGTTAATTTTTTGAAGGGTTTTTTGTGTCTCTATTTCCTTCAGTTCTGCTCTGATTTTAGTTATTTCTTACCTTCTGCTAGCTTTTGAATGTGTTTGCTCTTGCTTTTCTAGTTCTTTTAATTGTGATTTTAGGGTGTCAATTTTGGATCTTTCCTGCTGTCTCTTGTGGGCATTTAGTGCTATAAATTTCCCTCTACACACTGCTTTGAATGTGTCCCAGAGATTCTGGTATGTTGTGTCTTTGTTCTCGTTGGTTTCAAAGAACATCTTTATTTCTGCCTTCATTTCGTTATGTACCCAGTAGTCATTCAGGAGCAGGTTGTTCAGTTTCCATGTAGTTGAGCGGTTTTGAGTGAGATTCTTAATCCTGAGTTCTAGTTTGATTGCACTGTGGTCTGAGAGATAGTTTGTTATAATTTCTGTTCTTTTACATTTGCTGAGGAGAGCTTTACTTCCCAGTATGTGGTCAGTTTTGGAATAGGTGTGGTGTGGTGCTGAAAAAAATGTATATTCTGTTGATTTGGGGTGGAGAGTTCTGTAGATGTCTGCTAGGTCCGCTTGGTGCAGAGCTGAGTTCAATTCCTGGGTATCCTTGTTGACTTTCTGTCTCGTTGATCTGTCTAATGTTGACAGTGGGGTGTTAAAGTCTCCCATTATTAATGTGTGGGAGTCTAAGTCTCTTTGTAGGTCACTCAGGACTTGCTTTATGAATCTTGGTGCTCCTGTATTGGGTGCATATATATTTAGGATAGTTAGGTCTTCTTGTTGAATTGATCCCTTTACCATTATGTAATGGCCTTCTTTGTCTCTTTTGATCTTTGTTGGTTTAAAGTCTGTTTTATCAGAGACTAGGATTGCAACCCCTGCCTTTTTTTGTTTTCCATTGGCTTGGTAGATCTTCCTCCATCCTATTATTTTGAGCCTATGTGTGTCTCTGCACGTGAGATGGGTTTCCTGAATACAGCACACTGATGGGTCTTGACTCTTTATCCAATTTGCCAGTCTGTGTCTTTTAATTGGAGCATTTAGTCCATTTACATTTAAAGTTAATATTGTTATGTGTGAATTTGATCCTGTCATTATGATGTTAGCTGGTTATTTTGCTCGTTAGTTGATGCAGTTTCTTCCTAGTCTCGATGGTCTTTACATTTTGGCATGATTTTGCAGCGGCTGGTACTGGTTGTTCCTTTCCATGTTTAGCACTTCCTTCAGGAGCTCTTGTAAGGCAGGCCTGGTGGTGACAAAATCTCTCAGCATTTGCTTGTCTGTAAAGTATTTTATTTCTCCTTCACTTATGAAGCTTAGTTTGGCTGGATATGAAATTCTGGGTTGAAAATTCTTTTCTTTAAGAATGTTGAATATTGGCCCCCACTCTCTTCTGGCTTGTAGGGTTTCTGCCGAGAGATCCGCTGTTAGTCTGATGAGCTTCCCTTTGAGGGTAACCCGACCTTTCTCTCTGGCTGCCCTTAACATTTTTTCCTTCATTTCAACTTTGGTGAATCTGACAATTATGTGTCTTGGAGTTGCTCTTCTCGAGGAGTATCTTTGTGGCGTTCTCTGTATTTCCTGAATCTGAACGTTGGCCTGCCTTGCTAGATTGGGGAAGTTCTCCTGGATAATATCCTGCAGAGTGTTTTCCAACTTGGTTCCATTCTCCCCATCACTTTCAGGTAAACCAATCAGACGTAAATTTGGTCTTTTCACATAGTCCCATATTTCTTGGAGGCTTTGCTCATTTCTTTTTATTCTTTTTTCTCTAAACTTCCCTTCTCGCTTCATTTCATTCATTTCATCTTCCATCGCTGACACCCTTTCTTCCAGTTGATCGCATCGGCTCCTGAGGCTTCTGCATTCTTCATGTAGTTCTCGAGCCTTGGTTTTCAGCTCCATCAGCTCCTTTAAGCACTTCTCTGTATTGGTTATTCTAGTTATACATTCTTCTAAATTTTTTTCAAAGTTTTCAACTTCTTTGCCTTTGGTTTGAATGTCCTCCCATAGCTCAGAGTAATTTGATCGTCTGAAGCCTTCTTCTCTCAGCTCGTCAAAGTCATTCTCTATCCAGCTTTGTTCCGTTGCTGGTGAGGAACTGCGTTCCTTTGGAGGAGGAGAGGCGCTCTGCTTTTTAGAGTTTCCAGTTTTTCTGTTCTGTTTTTTCCCCATCTTTATGGTTTTATCTACTTTTGGTCTTTGATGATGGTGATGTACAGATGGGTTTTTGGTGTGGATGTCCTTTCTGTTTGTTAGTTTTCCTTCTAACAGAGAGGACCCTCAGCTGTAGGTCTGTTGGTGTACCCTGCCGTGTGAGGTGTCAGTGTGCCCCTGCTGGGGGGTGCCTTCCAGTTAGGCTGCTCGGGGGTCAGGGGTCAGGGACCCACTTGAGGAGGCAGTCTGCCCGTTCTCAGATCTCCAGCTGCATGCTGGGAGAACCACTGCTCTCTTCAAAGCTGTCAGACAGGGACATTTAAGTCTGCAGAGGTTACTGCTGTCTTTTTGTTTGTCTGTGCCCTGCCACCAGAGGTGGAGCCTACAGAGGCAGGCAGGCCTCCTTGAGCTGTGGTGAGCTCCACCCAGTTTGAGCTTCCCAGCTGCTTTGTTTACCTAATCAAGCCTGGGCAATGGGGGGCGCCCCTCCCCAAGCCTCGCTGCTGCCTTGCAGTTTGATCTCAGACTGCTGTGCTAGCTAGCAATCAGGGAGACTCCGTGGGCGTAGGACCCTCTGAGCCAGGTGCGGGATATAATCTCGTGGTGCACCGTTTTTTAAACCAGTCGGAAAAGCGCAGTATTCGGGTGGGAGTGACCTGATTTTCCAGGTGCCGTCCGTCACCCCTTTCTTTGACTCAGAAAGGGCACTCCCTGACCCCTTGCACTTCCCAAGTGAGGCAATGCCTCGCCCTGCTTCGGCTCGCACACGGTGCGCGCACCCACTGACCTGCGCCCACTGTCTGGCACTCCCTAGTGAGATGAACCCGGTACCTCAGATGGAAATGCAGAAATCACCTGTCTTCTGCGTCACTCACGCTGGGAGCTGTAGACCGGAGCTGTTCCTATTAGGCCATCTTTGGCTTTTTCATTAAGCATAATATCTGGAGCTTCATCCAGATTTTTGCATGTATCAATAGTTACTTTTTATTGTTGCATAGTATTCCATGTTATGAATGTACTACAATTTGTTTAACCATTCTCCAGTTGAAGTACATGTGGATTTTTCCCATGTGTTTTTCATCATTTTATTTCTGTCATAAAGTTGCCATAAACATTATTTACAGGTTTTTGTGTGAACATTAGTTTTAATTTAAATGGAATAAACGTGCAGGAGTACTGTTGTTGGGTTAGATGGTAGTTGCATGTTCAGGTTTCTTTTTTTTGAGACGGAATCTTGCTCTGTCGCCCAGGCTGGAGTGCAGTGGCATGATCTTGGCTCACTGCAGCCTCCACCTCCCAGGTTCAAGCAGTTCTCCTGCCTCAGCCTCCCAAGTAGCTGGGCTTACAGGCGCCCACCACTGCGCCCGGCTAATTTTTGTATTTTTAGTAGAGACGGGGTTTCACCATCTTGACCAGTCTGATCTTGAACTCCCGACCTCATGATCCAGCCACCTCGGCCTCCCAAAGTGCTGGGATTAAAGGAGTAAGCCGCCACGCCCAGCCACATATTCAGTTTCTAAAGAAACTATCAAACTGTTTTCCAGAGTAGCGGTAACATTTTACAGCCCCACCAGCAAGGTTTTTTATTTTTGCTATTCTGATAGGTGTGTAGTGATACTACACTGTGGTTTTAATATGCATCTGCCTAATGATTAATGATGTTAAATAGTTTCATGTACTTATTTGCTGTCTGTATTTAACAAAACAGTATAAAACTTATAACCTGAAAACTGCAAAACATTCTTGAAAGAAATTTTAAAAGGTCTAAATAAATAAAAAGACATCCTATGTTCATGGATTGGAATACTTAATATTGTTAATGTGACAATACTTACCAAATTGATCTATAAATTCAACAAAGTCCCTCTCAAAATCCTAGCTACCTTATTTGCAAAAACTGACAAGCTGATCCTGACATTTATATGGAAATGCAAGAGACCCATATTAGCCAAAATAGTCTTGAAGAACAAAGTTTGAAGACTCAGACTTCCCAGTTTTAAAACTTACAACAAAGCTATGCTAATAAAGAGAATGGTACTGGCATAAGAATAGGTATATTAATCAAAGGAACATAATTTAAAGTACAAAAAAAAAAAAACCCTCACATTTATGGTCAGTTGGTTTTTGATAGTGGTGCCAGAACAATTACAAATTGTACTGACAATTGGATATCCACATGAAAAAGAATGAAGTTGGACCTCTACCTTCCCATATACAAAATTAACTCAAAGTGGATCAAAGACCTAAATGTAAGAGCTAAAACTATAAAGTTCTTAGAAGAGAACATATGGGTAATTCTTCATGACTTTGGATTAGGCAATGGTTTCTTAGATATGAAACCAAAGGCACAAGCAACAATATAAAAAATAGATAAATTGAACTTCCTCAAAATTATTTGCCCTTTGTATATCCTCTTTAAATGGATATCCTCAGTAAAATGTCTCTTCATGTCTACTTTGATTGTTTTTGTCTTTTACTGTTTACTTTTGAGTGTTTTTTTTTTTTGTGTCTAGCTACTAGTCCTTTGCTGGGTATGTGGTTTGAAATTTTTTTTTTACAGTCTGTAGCTTGTCTGTTCCTCCCTTTAACAGGGTCTCTCACAGAGCAAAACATTTTAATTGTGATTAAGTCCAATTAATCAATTTTTATTTTAAAGAATATTTTCCCAAAGTTTTATAGTTTTACATTTAACATTTAAATTTATATTCTACTTTAGTATTATTTTTACTTAGTATGTAAGACTTAGGTACTTACCTCAAGGGTCTATTTTGTCTTTTTCCTATGAATGTCCAATTGCTCCAGCACCATTTGTTGGAAAGCCTATCTTTCCCTTATCAAACTGCTTTTGCCCCTTAGCCAAAAACCAATTTGGCAAATATGTGTGGGTCTATTTAAGTTCTCTGTTCTGTTCCATTCATCTGTGTGTCTGTCCTTCTAACAAAACTACGTAGACTTGATTGTTATAGCTATATAAGCAGTAAAATTGGGTTGAGTGATTACCCCCATTTCTCCCACTTTACTCTGTTTCAAAATTATTTTAAGCTATTCTTGTCCTTTGCTTTTCTGTATAAATTTTAGAATAATTTTGTCTGTCTTCAAAAAAATCTTCCTGGGATTTTGGCAGGAATTGGAGATAACTGACATCAATCTGATTTGGGGAGAATTGACATCTTTGTTGAGTATTTCAATCTGTGAATATGTCACATCTCTTCATTTATTTAGATTTCCTTCAGCAGTGTTTTCTCTTTTTTAAAAAAATAATTTGTTTACTTATTTTTTTTCTTTTTTTAAGCAGTGTTTTGTAGTTTTCAGGATATGGGTGTGAACCCAAAAGTCTCTGAGACAGATCTCAATCAATTTAGAAAGATTATTTTCCCAAGATTAAGGACACACCCATGACACAGCTTCAGAAGATCCTCACGACACGTGTCCAAGGTGGCTGGGGCACAGCTTGGTTTTATACATTTTAGGGAGACATGAGACATCATCAATATGTGTAAGGTATACATTGGTTCGGTCCAGAAAGGTGGGACAACTCAAAGTGGGGTAAAGGACTTCTGGGTCATAGGTAAGTAAGAGACAAATGTTTGCATTCTTTTGAGTCTCTGATCAGCCAGCCTTTCACCAAAAACACAATCTACATGTGGGGTGGCGTAGAGTAGCCGCCACTTCTACCTTAGTTTGGCTTTAGTGAAACAATAGGTCAGAGGAAGGAAATCAGACATGGCATTTGTCTCATGTGAGCAGAAGGAGGACTTTGAGTTCTGTCTGTCCTTTGTGCACAAGGAATTTCCTTGTGGGACAATCACAATTTCAGATTGGCTTCTTTCACTCAGTAATATGCATCTGTTTCCTCCATGTCTTTTAATGGCTTGATACCTCATTTCTTTTTAGCATTGAATAATCTTGTATTGTCTGGATGTACCACGGTTTATATCTGTCCACCTACAGATGGACATCTTGGTTTCTTCCAAGTTTCGGCAATTATGAATAAAGCTATAAACACCCATGTGCAGGTTTTGTGTGGCCATAAGTTGTCAACTCCTTTGGGTAAATACCAAGAAGTGTGAATGCTGAGTCGGATGGTAAAAATATGTTTTGTTTTGTAAGAAACTGCCAAACTGTCTTCCAAAGTGGGTACCATTTTGCATTCCCACAGCAGTGAATGAGAGCTCCTGTTTCTCCACATTCTCACCAGCATTTGGTGTTGCTGGTGTTCTGGATTTTGGCCATTCTAATAGGTGTGTCATGGTATCTCATTGTTTTAATTTGCATTTCTGATGACATATGAGATGGAGCATCTTTTCAGATGCTTATTTGCTGCCTGTGTATCTTCTTTGGTCTTTGGCTCATTTTTTAATCACGTTGTTTCCTTTTCCTTTCTTTTTTTTGAGAGTCTTGCTCTGTCATCCGGGGTGGAGTGCAATGGTGCAATCTCAGCCTACTGCAACCTCTGTCTCCTGGGTTCAAGTGATTCTCCTGCCTCAGCCTCCCAAATAGCTGGGACTGCAGGCATGCGCCACCATGCATGGCTATTTTTGTGGGGTTTTTTTCCGTATTTTTAGCAGAGATGGGGTTTCACCATGTTTGTCAGACTGGTCTCGAACTCCTGACCTCAGGTGATCCACCCGCCTCAGCCTCTCAAAAGTACTGGGATTACAGGCGTGAGCTACCATGCCCAGCTTGTTTTTTCTTTTTCTTTTTTGAGACAGGGTCTCACTGTAGCTACCAGGCTGATCTCGAACTTCTGGGCTGAAGTGACCTTCCCGCCTCAGCCTCCCAAATAGCTGGAATGACAGGTGCAAGCCACTGTGCCTGGCTCTGTTTTCTTATGGTTGAGTTTTAAGAATTCTTTGTATATTTTGGCTAATGACCCTTTAGCAGCTGTGTCTTTTTGCAAATATTTTCTCCCGTTCTTTGGCTTGTCTTTTCATTCTCTTGATAGTATTTCACAGAGCAGAAATGTTTAATTTTAATGAAGTCCAACTTATCAATTCTCTCTTTCATAGATCGTGTCTTTGGTGTTGTATCTAACAAGTCATTGCCAAACCAAGGTCATCTAGATTTTCTCCTATGTTCTAGGAGTTCTACAGTTTTTTTTTCTTTTTCACTTAGGTCTATGATCCATTTTGAGTTAATTTTGTGGAGTGTAAAGTCTGTGTTCAGATTCGTATTTTTCCACGTGAATGTCCACTTGTTCCAGCACCATTTCTTGAAAAGACTATTTTTTCCTCCATTCTGTTGCTTTTGCTCCTCTGTCAAAGATCAGTTGACTATTTTATGTAGGTCTATTTCTGGGCTATATATTCTGTTCATTGTCTGTTCTTTTGCCAATACCACACTGTCTTATGTAATCTGCTTTTCAACTCATGTACCGAGACCTTAATTTGGGTTATTATGTACTTTTAAAAAAATTTCTCCAGTTTCTAATCAGCTCTTTAAAAATTTTCCTGTATCTTTTTTTTATGGGTTTCAGATGTGATTTTATGTATTTGGAGCACAGTAAGCAAGTGTGGCTGTGTGAAGACACGTGTCTGACTGCTCCCGGGCTTGTAGTCTCTCTGCCTGTCTCCTAATCCTTGTGCCTCTGTTGCTTCTTCACATTGCTGCCTTGTGTACCTGCTGATCTCTGATTGTGTGCCAGGAAAGATATATTTAACAAATTGTTGGCAGAAATATTTTGAAGCATCGGATGACGAGACCTCTCTGGAGAAAAACAGTATTTGCCACCATCCATTGCCTGGGGGTGCCAGCAGTCTGGTATCCCCATCATCAGATTTCAGGTGTTGAGGGCCTCTGGGCCCCAGGTGAGGTGGGACTGGGCTGCAAGATCTGGTGCCGCTTTTCTCCACTGTGCAGCCTGTCCCTTCTCCTGCTGGCGGGTGGGGCCAGAATCAACTGTGTTCAGCGTGAGGGACACACGGTCCCAGTGTGAGGGACGGTGGCTTTTCAGGAGCACGGTGCTCATTAAAGGTGGTTACTCTGTCCCCTTGCCTACGAGATGAGAAACAAGAGGCACATGGCATGTCACACCAGGGGCCACTGAAGGCATGCCGTCTGCAGTGATTGGCCCTGTCCCCCCACCCCCCACGTGCTTTCGGCTCTGTCTCGTCTGGTGCCAGTGCCAGATTCAGGGCACTGTCACTCCTCTCTGACCTTGCCCCTGCCCCTTTAGAGGTGGCGTCCACCTGCCATTGGCATTGAGTGTGCAGGATGGACTCACGTGCCCAGTTCCCCCTAACACCACCTTGGCTGGGACCCCAGTCCCTGGTCCTCCATCCTCCCCTACAGAATGACAAATTATGTGGGCACAGGTTCCCTTGAGCTCATTTTGAAACATTGAAGCAAACGTCAATCTAGGGAACAGTTGACATGACACTCCTTTATTAAAACCTAGGGACATTGTTATAAAAATTACTGTATATAGGCCGGGCGCGGTGGCTCACGCCTGTAATCCCAGCACTTTGGGAGGCCGAGGCAGGCAGATCACGAGGTTAGGAGATCGAGACCATCCTAGCTAACACGGTGAAACCCTATCTCTACTAAAAATACAAAAAATTAGCCAGGTGTGGTGGCAGGTGCCTGCTAGTCCCAGCTACTTGGCAGGCTGAGGCAGGAGAATGGCGTGAACCTGGGAGGCGGAGCTTGCAGTGACCCGAGATTGCACCACTGCACTCCAGCCTGGGCGACAGAGCAAGACTCGGTCTCAAAAAAAAAAAACAAAAACTACTGTATATAAAGACAAAAGAGCAACAGCGGTCAGTGAAAAACTCATTATTGTTACACTCCAGTATTATTAGGAATGTTTTTGGTTTTCCTGGTTATCAGCTCTCAGAGAGACCCCATGCCTGCTCACATGAAGCCAGAGTTTACAGGAGAGAAAATATTTCCATCCCCCAACCCCTGCCGCTGTATGCCCTTGTCTGGCTGGCCCTGGGGAGGACACATCACCCTTTTGTGGGAGGTCTCCTGCCTTGTTAAGGTGACTGAGCCTCTCACCCTTGCAGCCCCCCACCTCGTTACTGCACATTGTCCAGACACTGACCGCTTGGTTATTTGACTATGATGTATGCTACTAGCTTTAAAACGGGAAATGGGGAACAATAGGAAGAAACTGGGTATGAGAAACTGACATGCAATTCCAAGAAGAGGCGCTCTCTCTTGGGCCACCAGCTTGGTTCCAGTTGTGGCCAGGGTGGCCATGTCATCCATAGTTTTTGATTCTGTGCTCAGGGATGGCGCTGACCAATGTGGAATCCTGCATATTTGGGAGGCTGGTTTAGGGTCATTCAACAGGGTACCTCATTGTACCAACCCAAGGGTAACCATTCTCAGTGCAGTCTATGTAAACGGTATCCCTGGGAGCCCATTACCATTTATGGTACAGTGTCGTGAATGGTGCCTACTGGAGGGTTGTGAACCCTGCAGCAGCCCTGGATTTCAGTCTGTTAAGGGCAAATCTGTCAGGGCTTTGATGTGAAGATAGGAGTTTTAGGTACAGAGTAACTAATAGTCAAATCTGCTCTTCATCAAGCATTTATCTAGCATCAGCTGTTGGCCAGGGGTTTGGACTAGAAACTGGGGTGGTGGGAGCAATGACACCTCCAAGGTCACTTTCATGGGTGGGACTTCTGAATTCATTTTGTGAATCTGAGTGTGTCCGTTAGGCACAAATAGCCATTTCACAGGTGGTCCCAGCTATAGCAGGAATGGTTCCCAGAAGGGCCCTGGGTACAGGGCCAGGCAAGTGGCAGGCGTTCGGCAAGTGTCTGTTGAATAGGTGAGGGAAGTCCATGTCATTGAATGGGTTTTCTAGGAGGATCCTGACCTCTTCTAGCTCGCCTGACTGCTTAACATTTGAGCTTTTCGGGTCACAACCCCCAAAGTTGTTTGCATGCACTGAAGCACCAGTGTGGGACGTGTTGGTGCTACAGCAAGGAACTAGGGCACTGTGCCTGGCATCTGGTACATAGTAAGTGCACAGGCTTGTCTTCCGGAGGGGACAGGGCATGGCCCCAGCCCAGTGATGTACTCCTGGACTGCAAAGGGCAGTGATTAGGGCGTCATCCAGGCATGGCCTGACTGTCCCAATGCTGTGGGGACCAGGCAGACACCCTCTGATACCCACCACGTGAGCAGGATGATTAAGAATCCCTGCAGTTTGCAGGGATTCTTACATGTTTCCAACCCTAGATTTTCACGGCAGACAAAATCAACCCACGTGGATGTCTCCCTGCAGTGATGGGTGGCCCTTCAACATTGATAAGACATGTTCCCAGTAACTGCATCCAGGTCTGTTATTCCTTCCTTCCTTCTTACCTACCTACCTACCTAGAGTCACTCTGTCACCCAGGCTGGAGTGCACTGGTACGATCTCAGCTCACTGCAAGCTCTGCCTCCTGGGTTCACGTTATGTTAATTTCAAACATGGGGGAAATCTGTAAATTCACTTCTGAAGGCTCTTCCTGTTGATGGGGACCAGTACACCCAAGTTGAAAAATTAAAATAAGCCAATTAAAAAATTTTACAAGTCTGCACCTCCAGGAACCCCATGTCCTTGAATGGCAGTCTCTGATAGACACGGTGATTGCGAAGGCAGCCACGCCAGTGGAGGGGCCTGGGTGTGGACAGCGGCTAGAGGGATGTAAAGGGCCTGGCGCCACCAGGCTGGAATCCTGACCTGACCTGGACAGCGGCCTGTGGGGGAGTCAGTGTCAGGCTCAGCCACACCCACAGCCCTAGTCTGTTTGACATGACCTGAAGAGAGCTTTTGGGATGACGGTTAACTGGAAACCATCTCCTGGCCAAAGAAGCCTGTTAACCCCCATTCCTGGCTGTGTTTCCCCTGACATTCCCAAGTCCTTCTCTTCAGCTCTGGGACACATTTGAATCTTTCTGATGATGAGGGGAGATGCCACCCACCCTGGGAACACTGTCAGCTGCCTACTTGCTGCTTTCTAGAGCATTGGAGACAGCAAGAGGGACCAGATCTACCTATGAAATCACATGTATGTGTGTGAGGGCATGTGCTTGTGTGTCCATGCATGTGTGTGCATGCACAGCTGGGTGTGTGTGCACCCATGTATGCATATGTATGCATGTGTGCATGTATGTACTTGTTTTCAATTGAGGCCTGTTGCACATGTTCCCAATAACTTCATCCAGGTCTGTTATTCCTTCCT
Source organism: Homo sapiens (assembly GCF_000001405.40). Lineage (NCBI taxonomy): Eukaryota > Metazoa > Chordata > Mammalia > Primates > Hominidae > Homo > Homo sapiens. Next base: position 32,308,940 of record NC_000022.11, read on the forward strand.
TCCTTCTTACCTACCTACCTAGACAGTCTCACTCTGTCGCCCAGACTAGAGTGCAGTGGTATGATTTCAGCTCACTGCAAGCTCTGCCTCCTGTGTTCATGTTATGCTAATTTCAGCAATGGTTATGGTCAGCTGCTGGCCTGGCAGCTGGAGGGTACAGGTGAGGTGGGTGAGCAGGCTGCTTCTCTAGGTGCAGGGCATGTTCAGAGGCTAACATGAGGGCAGCGAGCCAGCAGGCACTACCAGCTATTGGTTCTGAATAGAGATTCCAAAACACACAATAATCACACCATACACAGATGAGAGGGAAAGCATAAAACTGCTCGTGAATCACACACAGTTCCCAGTGAGAAACAGTCCTTACAAACGCGGTAGTTCTGCAAAGCAGCCTCGAATGCAGATTCCTCTGTGGACATCTTATCCTCTTGTGTTTTTTTGTATTATTATTATTACAAATTACATGGTGATGGACAGAAGCTCACAGCAAAAAGTAAGAGTAGGCAGCTTAAAAAATCAGGTTGAGTTGCTAAAAACCGGTAACTCTAGAAATCTATGCTTGAACTTGTCACTACCCTGCATCTTGTTTCTCAGGGACACTCTACTCATTGAAGGACCTGCCAGCCATAACCACAGCAGGATGGGGACAGTGTTTATCACAATGACCTGGGGACCCACGGGGTTTTCAGGAGCCCTTGACACCACTGGGGGATTGAATACACACACACACCTGCTTTCCACACCGAGTGTTCACACCCAAGTGCACACTTCTCACCCCTCGGCTCCTCCATGAGACAGCAAGGGCCGTGACCCCCTGGCACCCCACCTCACACATTTGACAGATAAGAAGCAGAGGCTCTGAGAGGTTAAGTGGCTTGTGGGGGTGACCTGCGGGAAGGAGGGTGCTGTGGCTGGCTGCACTCTGCACCTGCCTTTGCTGCAAGCTATCTATACCATGTGTGCTGGGTCTCGGTGATCTCTGCTGAGGCCTCTTCCTTGCCACAGAATGTTCCAGTCCTCAGCCCAGCTGCCCAAGAGGGACTTGGCAGAGCAGCAGGACCACAAACCCCATGAGTTTTTCAGTTATTCCTGAAAAGACCTCTGGGTGGCAGCGGGGTGGGGAGGGGGGAGGGAGGACGGGGGATGGGGGGGGTGGCAGAAGGAATGTCCTCCTAGAAGGTTGTAAATCTCAAGGGATGCTTACGTGAACTCCAGCTCTGTCTGTTTGGCAGTGACCTGTGACCTTAGGTGTCCAGGAGAGGGAGGCAAGGCCACCAGTTCCTTTTTGGCAGAGTAAGCACCTATAGAGCATCATCCAGGACAGCAGGACATGAGGGTTGCAAACTCCTTAAATACCCATCTGACTCCTTCCTCTTACTGATGGGGAAACTGAGGGAACAGACCTTGCCTGAGGTCCCGCTGCTCTCAGTGGCAGAGCTGATGTCAGAATCTGGGTCTTGGGCCCCCACCCCAAGGCTTCCTCTGCCTTCCAAGGCACTGCACGTGGGACACAGCTGTGGCTGCCCCAGCTGGGCTAGCAGACAGGCTGTGCACCCCCTTATGGCAACATGGGCCTGGGGGGTGCCCTGGGATTGCTCATGTCAGGGGAGAGGAAGCCATGCCTTTCTCTAATTGAGACCCCCCAGCACAGGTTCTCCCACTTTGCCTCTGCCAAGCCATATGCCTGGACACTGGCAACACTGCCTGGAGGAGACAGCTGGACCCAAAGACTGAGGCCAGGGGCCTGGGTCTTCCACAGCTGACCTGTGTGACCCTGGGCAAGCCACTTGACCCGGCTGAGTCTGTCTTCTCATCCATAAAATGGGGAGAGCCCCTTCTTCATGGGGCTGTTGAGAGGATGAAGAGCCAGGGAGAATGGAGGATGCTTTATGCCCTAGCAAGTTTGTTCTGCTTTTCCAAACGCAGGGCATTGTTTGCACAGTGTGACTCACAGTGGAGCCCAGGGCTGGGCACTCTTGCCCTCATCTCCTGCCTTCCCTCTGGGTCCCAGCCACCTGGCTTTCTTATGCTTCCTTGAAACCACCAAGCCTGTGCCTGCCACAGGGCCTTTGCACTAGCTGTTCCTTCTGCCTGGAATGCTCTTTTCCTATCTTTAACGCCCATTACTCGGTCCTGTGTGTCATTCAAATCTGGCCTTCAATCATCTGCTCAATAAGGCCTTCCCAGACCACCCCAGGTCCACGAGGGTCTCACTCACTTGTCCCTCGAACTGAGTTCCCGGCAGAACACTCGCCGCCCTTGCCACCTTCACTGTATTCCCGCCCCAGCTAGAAAGCCAGCACAGTGAGCAGGGACCTGCCTTGCTCACTGTTGTGTCTGGTGAATGGATGGGCAGTCAGTGTGAGAACACTAGGTCTGATGAAATGAGGAAACTGGGTCAGAGGACACACATGTTTATTAAGCAGGGCCTCCTGAGCTAAGAACTGGGGGAGATTTGGTATCACTAACACCCATGGAATGAGTGTGTCTACACTGGCAGCGTGGCCTTTGGAGATGTTTGTGATCATTTAGGTGATGCCATCCATCTCATAGGTGCCCCGGGGCAGGAGTGGAGGTGATTAGCTCTGTGGGTGGATGTTACGGGCATCTAGGCTTATGTGGAAGTCCCAATTCAAAGCGGGTGGATTTCTAGAACCCTCCTCTCTGGGTTTCCATAGCCTCGTTACCCTGCCCAGCAAAGATCCATGTGTCTGTGTCTCCCACCAGATGGGAGGCTCCCCAGGGGCAGAGATGAGGTCTGACTCATCTTCTGTCCCCATCACTGCCCAGCATGGGGCCTGGCGCACAGCAGGTGCTTAGCCAGAATGTGCTGAGTGGATCAGCGCTCTCGGCGGTGATGGTGGAGAACTCAGGGCGACAGCCTGTGGAGGCATCAAGGAGATGCTCCTGGCATTGTGCAGGGTGTGCCCTGGCTGGGGATCACGTCATGTCCAGGGAGTTGGAGCCTGGACTTTGGGTTCCTGCACCCCTGAGGTCAAACGAGGGGTTGGTCTCCTCCTGGCCATGTGGCGCCTGGGCACCCCCCTTCCCCACTGTGAGCTTTTTCTGCAGCTTTTTCTGCAGGGGGTTAATCATACCTGCCTCCCACGTGGTGAGAGGGAGAGTGCATGAAAACACTTAACTTGGTACCTGCCCTGTGGTCAGCCTGAGATGCGTCCCTGAGTATTTTTGTTACAGGAATGAATTCTGTAAGAACCAACCCTGACTGGCATTTTCAAATCCCCAGTGCTCCCTGAGACACAGAGGGGCTGTACCCTGTGCTTAGCAAGAAGCTTGCAGCCTGAACATTGACACGGATGAGAACCCCCAGCCAGAAGGTAACCCGCGCCCATCAGAGAACTTGAGGGGGGAAGCCCCAATAAAAACCAACCAACCAAACAAGAACACCCCAAATCACACGCGCGCGCGCACACACACACACACACACACGCACATTCAATATTCTGACACAAATAGCCCCAAGGGGCCGCTATTGGAGGGAGCAGGGGCAAGGGAAGCTTCGGTTTTCAACCACAGGTATAACTCACAGGCCTCAATCCTCCTGGCTGGAATCAGCCAGAGTTGCTTTGTCTTGGTCATCCTGAGGCCACAATGAGTCACCTCTCAGAAGCCACCAGCCCAAAACAGGACTATCGCTTGTGGACAGGTGGCTCAGAATCCCCTCCCCTGCACCCCCAGCCCCTACCCCTGAGTTTGCTCGTAATCTTAGAAGTCCGCAGAAGGGGGCTTTGGGCACAGGCAGCATTCCCTTCTCTACCACCTCGGCTGTCCCTGGCATCTCTGTAGAAGTTGTCCTTCTCGGAGGCTGCACTGGGTATTTCAGATCTCATCTCCCCCATCCTGAGGCACAGCAAAAGGGTTTTCTGGAGGAAATACAAGGAAAAAAAATATCACATGGTGTCTCCTCAATGGGGACTCACTGGGGACATTTCTCTCTGGCCTCAGTGCCAGAAGAATCCAGGTTTCCTCTGAACACATGGGTTTTGTCTTCTGAACGTTGTGAACCATGTGACTTTAAGACTGGAAGCGAGACAAAAATGTCGCTATCATTATAGCTCCATATAGTACTAGAGCTCTGGCTCATGCAATAAGGCAAGAAAAAAAAGCATAGACTAGGACTGGAATAGAAGAACCAAAATTACAGTTAATTGTGGATAACTTACATAGAAAATTTAATAGAATCAACAGGTTAATTAGTAGAATGGAGAGTGCATACATAGAGGTATAATAGTCAACCTGTAAGACATCAGATCAATTTATAAAATGCAACAGTGTGCATTGACCTCAGCAGTTACTAGGGTAATTATATGTCATGGCTTGGGACAGTCTCAGTTGACACTTGTTGTTCTGACATAATTTTTAATGTTGTTCCCCTTTTACCCTCAAAAGTATTCTGATTTGGATGATAAATTATACTGTCACCCTTGCTATAACAAACTAAATATTAAACACAGATACAGATACCATTCATACTGACAAAAACGATCCTGTATTTTGGAATGACACTAAGATATGACCATGACCATGTCATACAAAGCTATAGAGAAGATACCAAGATGCTCCTGGAATAGGGAAGAGCCAGGAGAGCAGTGGAACAAGATCTACAGTGTGGAAACAGGTCTGCTGGGCACTTATAGCTTTGAATGGCAGAGTCAAGTTGCAAACAAGACAATGAGGAAAAGAAATACAAACTCCATCTGTGGCAGGCAGCATGAACCCCACTGCCCTGTGTCTATTACAAGAGCAATTGCCCAGCCACAACTACTTACCTTCCCAGACTCCCTTGCAAGCAGGGGTGGTCACATGACCCAGTCTGGCCAATGTCATGTAAGTGGGAGTCTATTGGGAAGGGGACATAAATCCAGGGGAAGATGAACTATCTTGCATGCATGAGAATGAAGGATGCTCACTAACACAGGTGGAGTAGAAGGCAGGGAGAAACTGGGTTCTGGTGGCAGCCCTGGACTGCCCCCTCCACACCACTGCAGTCAAATTTCCTTTACTTGCATAAATTGCAACTGGTGACAGTTCTTAACTGATAAACCATCTTCAACCAAACTACATGTTTTTTGGGCAAATGGAGAAGTCAAGGGAGTGGCTCCGACAAAGCCAGCAAAGCCCACCTCCCCAGAGTGAGAGATACGCCAAGAAGGAGAACCTACTCTCCACTCTTTGCATCAGTGGGAATGTGTACAGGGGCTAAGGGTGAGAGATTCCGTGGGGCCATCTCCTCAGCTTCACAGAACAAAGCCAGGTACTCTCCATCACCGACTTTTTTTTCTCCATAGCACACACCTCTATCCAGCATACCACCTATTGTACTTACTTGAATAATTTATTGTTTGTCTTCCCCACATAGAAAGTTAGCTACAAGAGGGTTAAGGTGATTGTGTGTTTTACACATTGCTGCATTGCCAGGGCCTAGGACAGTAACTGGCATACTGTAGGGGCTTAATAATGTTTATCAAATAAATGAATGAACCAAGAATTTAAAGCCCAATGAACCATCTTTCAAATATAAAGTCAACAGAAAAACATGTTGAACATATTTTTGAATTATAGTTCCCATGACCCCTTCTTAAAAAAATTAAGGACACCCTTAGGCAAATCAAGAATGATTCAGAAAAGTTTAATGTAAAAGGATGGGCAGATGATTTTTTTAAAAGTTCTGTGGATAGATGGCAGTGATGGCTGCTGTATTAATCCATTTTCATGCTGCTGATAAAGACATACCCAAGCAATTTACAAAAGAAAGAGGCTTAACTGGACTTACAGTTCCACATGGCTGGGGAGGCCTCACAATCATGGTGAAAGGCAAGGAGGAGCAAGTCACGTCTTATGTGGATGGTGGCAGGCAAAGGGACAGAGAGAGTGAGCGAGCTTGTGCAGGAAAATTCCCATCAGACCTCATGAAATTTATTCACTATCATGAAAACAGCATGGGAAAGACTTGCCCCCATGATTCAATTACCTCCCACTGGGTTCCTCCCATGACACATGGGAATTGTGGGAGTTACAATTCAAGATGAGCTTTGGGTACAGCCACAGCCAAACCATATCAGTTGCCCTACAGTGAGAAGGTACTTAATGCCCCTGAACTGTATACTTAAAAATGGTTAAAATGGTTATATGTTATGTGCATTCTACCACAATTCATAAAAAGGATGAGCAGAAGCATAACAAATGCAAATGAAGAGAAATCAGGGGTCAAGTTGTAAATGGAGCACTGCCAAGAGTGCCAGCAATGAGCACAGAATTTGTGTAACTGCAGGACTATTAAAGCCAATCTAAAGATTATGACCATCACAGAGAAGAATGAAACAAAACAGAACTGGCATAAATAATAAAAAGTAGGAGGGGTGGAGGTGAGAAGGAGAGAGGTAATACAAGTAAACTATGTCATATTCATATATAGTTGGAGGTCTAAATTATTGCTTAGAAGTCTAAGTAAAATTAGAGGCATCAAGGTAAACAAAAAATAATCAACTAAAATAACTTGATGGAAGGGAGACAAGAAGAGGGAAAGTAGAAATATTCTAATTTTGATATTGTTCACAGTAGGGAGAAAATAAGCGCTGTCTAGAGAAATAAAAGGATTAAAGATATCATGTCATATTATAATTATGAAGATAACCATGGGATCAAAAACGCAGCTTTCCAAATTATCAGAAGACATACACACAGAAAATAAAACAAAGACAACAGAGACCGTATGGTGAAAACTGACAACCCCCACAAAACTATAAAAGCAGAAAGCCTATCAAACAATGATGACAGAACTAAGACCAAATGCATCTGCCATATCTGTAAATGTTAGTGAGCCATACACACTTGCTTAAAAAAAAAAAAAAAAAAAAAGAGACTGGATCACAAACAAGGGCACTGAAGGTAGAATGATTCAGCAAGGTTTCATAGAAAAGGATGGGCAGGGCCGGGCATGGTGGCTCACACCTGTAATCTCAGCACTTTGGGAGGCCAAGGCAGGTAGATCACGAGGTCAGGAGTTCAAGACCAGCCTGGCCAACATGATGAAACCCCGTCTCTACTAAAAATACAAATAAATTAGCCAGGCATGGTGGTGGGTGCATGCAGTCCCAGCTACTCGGGAGGCTGAAGCAGGAGAATCGCTTGAACCCAGGAGACTCTGTCTGAAAAAAAAAAAAAAAAAGGGCAGATGATTTTTATAAAGTTCTGCAGGTGGATGATGGTGATGGTTGCACTACAGTGAGAAGTACTTAATACCCCTGAACTGTATACTTTAAAAATAGTTAAAATGGTAAATGTTATGTGCATTTTACCATAATTTTAAAAAAAGGATGAGCAGAAGCATAACAAACAAATGCAAATGAAGCTAAATCAGGGGTCATAATCTTAATATCAGACAAAGCTGAAGTCAGGGCAAAACATATTGAATGAGAAAAAAGAAGGGCACTGTGTGAGGGTGAAGGATGAGAGTCACCATGAAGATCTAACAGTAATGAATGTTCATGTACCAAATAGCATAGCCTCAATATTCATAGAGCAAGACTGGAAATTTAGGGAGAAAAAGCAGAGTATGCTAGCATTAGTGCTTTTTTTTTACTTTTTTTAAAGACAGAGTCTCACTCTGTTGCCCAGGCTGGAGTGCAATGGTATGATCTCAGCTCACTATAACCTCTGCCTCTTGGGTTCAAGCCATTCTCCTGCCTCAGCCTCCTGAGTAGCTGGGATAACAGGTGCTCGCCACCATGCTCGGCTAATTTTTTTTTTTTTGACTTTTTAGTAGAAATGAGATTTCACCATGTTGGCCAGTCTGGTCTCGAACTCCTGACCACAGGTGATCCGCCCACCTCAGCCTCCCAAAGTGCTGGGATTACAGGCATGAGCCACCACGCCCTGCCTAGTGCATTTTAATTCACCTTTCTCAATCCATTCCATATGCAGTTGGCAAAAACAAAAGTAAGGAGATAGGGAGCCAAATAATCTAATTAACAACTCTGTGTGTGTGTGTGTGTGTGTGTGTGTGTAAAACACAGTCTACCTTCATTCTATTCAAATGCTCTTGAAAGTGCATACACAAAAGTGACTATCAGGCCACAAAGAAAGTAAATTCCAAAAAATAGAAAAAAGACAACATTCTCTGATCACAATATACTAGAATTTGAAAATACTAATAATGAAACCACAGACCAAACCAAACTTTGCCACCAAGAAGTCTATAAACACTTAAATAAACTTGAGTTACAGACAGCAAAAAATAAAAACTGCAGAATATCTAGACTATAACAAAATATATATTTAAGGACCTGTGGGATGCAGACGAGCCAATGCTAAGAGGAACATATATAGCCTTAAAACACTGATCTTATTAATAAATTAGAAAGCATGAATTGCCCAACTCAAAAAGAAAAGAAAGACAAACCTAAGAAAGACATACAATAGCAATAAATAGATGAAAACAGAAATGGAGTTAACAGCAGAAGAAAGGAACTCATAAATAACTCCATGTTCTTTTTTTAATTTTTAAATTATTTTATTTTTTTAGAGACAGGCTCTTGCTCTGTCACCCTAGCTGGAGTGCAATGGTGCAATCATAGTTCCCTGCAACCTCAAACTCCTGGGCTCAAGTGATTCCCCTGCCCCTGCCTCCTGTGTAGCTAAGACTACAGGTGTGCACCACTACACCCAGCTAATTAAATAAAAATTCTTTGTAGGGATGGGGTCTTGCTGTTTTGCCCAGGCTGATCTTGATCTCCTGGCCTCAAGCAATCCCCCTGCCTTGGCCTCCCAAAATGCTGGAATTACAGGCAAGAGCCACCATCCCTGGCCCCAACTACTCGTTCTTTGAAAAATAGTGAGACATGTTCCTGCTGGGGAATCTAATGAAGCAGGAGATATAATACATAGAAGGTGGAGGTGACTGCTTGGAAGGATTCTCTGCACTTTTGCTCTCCAGTTTCACTTCTCACCATCCCTTAGCCCCTCCCAACAGGCTTTTCTTCCAACTTCTCTGCAGAATTTGCCCTTGTCAAGGTCACCAAAGACCTCCATGTTAATAAACCCAGTAGTCAATTCTCAGTCCCCCTTTCACTCATCCTCACAGCAGCATTGACTCAAGTGATCACTCCACCTGCTTCCAGGACACTGCACTCCCCTCTCCTGGTCCTCCTCCTCCTCCCACTGCTCCTGCTCCAGCCCCTTGTTGGTCCGTCCACATCTTCCTGACCTCCTCTTCACTCTTTCTACTCACTCATGGACCTCATCTCTTCCCAAGGATTTAAACAGCATATGTTGATTTTTTTTTTTTTGAGATGGAGCTGGAATTTCACTCTGTCACCCAGGCTGGAGATACGCTGATGACTTTTGAGCCTCAAACTCTCATCTAAACTCCATTCTGATGGCCAACGTGTCTACTCGATGTCACCAAATTGATATTTAATAGACACCTCAAACTTAATATATCCCAAACGAAAATCCCAACCTTCCTCCCCCATCTAGCTTTTCCCACAATTTTTCTGACCTCAGGAAATACAACTCCATCCTGTCAGTTGCTCTCCTCAGAGGCCTGGAGTCATCTTTGACCCCTCTTTTCCTCTCACACTCCACATCCAACCCAGGAGCAAATCCCATTGGCCCTTCCTTTGGAATCTCAACAAGCCTTACACTTCCTGCTGCCTCCACCACTCCTACTGTGGTCCACACTAGCAGGATTCTTGCAGTGGGTGTCTGTGCTGGTCAGCCCCTTCCATCTGCTCTCAACACAGCAGCCAGAGAAGCCCTGTGAAAACCTAAGTCCAATTATGCCACCCCTTTCCTCAAAACCCTCAGTGGCTCCCAGATTCACTAAGAGTAGAAGCTAAAGCCCTTCCCACCCCATCACCTCCCTGTCCTATTCCTCACTCTTTTCCTTTTCATTCTCTCCACTCCAACGGTAATGGTTTGTTTAGTGTCAATTTGACTGGGCCACAGGGTGCCCTGATATTTGGTGGGATATTTTTCTGGGTGTGTTGTGAAGGTGTTTCATGATGAGAGGAACATGTGACCTGGCAGATGGAGGAAAACAGTGTCCTCCCCTGTGCAGGTGGCCTCATCCAACCTGCTGGAGACCTAAACAGAACCAACAAGTAAGGGGGAATTCACACTCTCTGCCTGCCTTTAAGTGGGGACATCGTTCTTCTCCTCCCTTTAGACTCAGGGTGGGACTGAAATTCACACCATTGGCTCTCCTGGCTCTCAGGCCCTTGACTCATAGTGGAACTCATGCCATCAGCTCTCCTGGGTCTCAGGTCCTCGACTCACACTGGAACTCACACCATGGGTTCTCCTGGGACTCAGGCCCTCGACCACACTGGAACTCACACCATCAGCTCTCTTGGGTCTCAGGCCATCGACTCACACTGGAACTCACACCATCAGCTCTTCTGGGTCTCAGACCCTCAAATCAAACAGGAACTCACACCATCAGCTCTCCTGGGTCTCAGACCTTCAAATCAAACTGGAACTCTCACCATTGGCTCTCCTGGGTCTCAGGCCCTCGACTGACACTGGAACTCACATCATCGGCTCTTTTGGGTCCCCAGCTTGCTAACTGCAGACCTTTGGATTCCTCAACCTGCATAGCTGCAGGAGCCAATTACCTACAGTGTGTGTCTTCATATGTGTCTATATGCGATTGGTTCTGTTCCTCTGGAGCACACTGACTAATACACCATCTGTACCAGCATGCTCCTGTCTCTTCTCCCAGATAAACCCAAGGCTGAATCCCTGATCTCCTTTAAGTCACCTTTTTAGTGAGCCCTTGGCCACATGTTTAAAATTATCCTTTACCTCAAATGCATTATCGCTGTCTAAAAGTCCATATATTTCACATAAACATTTTAAAAACTGTCTGCAGTCTCCATAAAAGCAGGCTTTTTGCTGCTTTTGGCCCATGACTATATCCCCAGGGCCAATAACGATGCCCAGCACAGGGTCAGCACTCAATTAAGATGAACTGAACAAACAGAAGAACAAAAGCGACTGCCTGCTCAACTCTACAGAAACCAGGAAGCCTCCAAGAAATGGATCAATTTCCAAGAAAAGAGAAATTACCCAAAGGATCCGGGAAGGGAGAATCTAAACAGACCAGTTGCCAAGAAGAAAGAGAGAAACTGTCAAACAGCAAATCCAAACTCTAAAATAAGAGAAATGCAAATTAAAGCCATAATGAGAGAGGATTTCAGAGCGCAGACAAAAGGGAGCATCCGCATTCCTTCACTTGCCACCCTGACACTGATCAAAAGGGCTGAGCACCCAATGCATTTGCTGGTTTGGGTTTCTGCTTCACTGCTGGTGGGGGGGATGCTGGGGTCATTTCTTTGGAAGGCAATTTGACACATGCCTACGGTACAGATGCCCACATCCTCTGACCCAGCAGTCTCACGTAACGATTATCCTACAGACATGCTCACAAGGGCAACATAGGTACAAGCACATTCATCACACAAAGGTGGGTCACAGCAGAAGATTAGGATCAGTGAAGTCTCCATCAGCAGGATGCCAGGTCAAAAACAACAGCTCCTGCACAATGGAGAGCCATGCAGAGACCAGGCAGGCTTGGGCAGCTGTCCTCAGCCACCTCCCATGCTCTGCTTTCCTTTCCTGGGTGTTAGTCATTGAGATTCATGATTTGTGGCATTAATGCCACTTACACGCTGAGCCCTCTGCCCTGAACCTTAGTCTTGAATTCCCACCCTTCCTCCCCTGGGCAATTTCTGTACTTTCCGCTCAATTTTTCTGTAAACCTAAAACTGCTTTAAAAAAAATCTATTCATTACCTAGATAACAAAATTCGTAAGACAGTGAGATGTCACTTTAAATCCATCAAATCGGCCAAACTTAGGAGATCAGATGATTTGAAAGGTAAGTGAACACCCGCGAAGGGGACTCACCACCATGCTCTGTGGACGATCCGGCAACCTCTCTCTGTGTACTTCCCAAAGAAGCCCGGGAGCTGGTCTTCAGGGGCAACCCGTCACCTTCCTAGGGAACTGCATTAGCATGAGCTGCTTCTTTTTAAGAAACGTTTAAGGCCGGGCACGGTGGCTCACGCCTATAATCCCAGCATTTTGGGAGGCCGAGGCAGGCGGATCACCAGGTCAGGAGTTCAAAACCAGCCTGACCAACATGTTGAAACCCCATCTCTACTAAAAACACAAAAATAAGCTGGGCATGGTGGCGTGCACCTGTAATCCCAGCTACTCAGGAGGCTGAGGCAGAAGAACTGCTTGAACCCAGGAGGCGGAGGTTGCGGTGAGCTGAGATCGTGCCATTGCACTCCAGCCTGGGCAATAAGAATGAAACTCCGTCTCTAAATAAATACAAAACTTAGCCAGGCATGGTGATAGGCACCTGTAGTCCCAGCTACTTGGGAGGCTGAGGCAGGAAAATCACTCGAATCCAGGGGGTGGAGGTTGCAGTGAGCTGAGATCGCGCCACTGCACTCCAGCCTGGATGGCAGAGCGAGACTCTGTCTCAAAAACGAACACAAATCTTTTAAGTTCAGGGGTACACGTGCAGGACGTGCAGGTTTGTGACACAGCTAAATGTGTGTCATGGGGGTTTGTTGTACAGATTATTTCATCACCCAGACATGAAACCTAGTACCCATTAGTTATTTTTTCCTGGTCCTCCCCCTCCTCCCACCTTCCGCCCTTCAGTGGGCCCCAGTGTGTGTCCTTCCCCTCTATGTATCCATGTGTTCTCATCATTTAGCTCCCGCTTATAAGTGAGAGCATGTGGTATTGGGTTTTCTGTTCCTGTGTTAGTTTGCTAAGAATAATGGCTTCCAGCTCCATGCATGTCCCTGCAAAGGACATGATCTTGTTCTTTTTTATGGCTGCATAGTATTCCATGGTGCCTATACAGTCTTCCATACAGTTCTCAGAAGTGAGGGTGCAAGAGCGCCTATGGCAGAATGCATAGGTCTTGCACATAAAACGTTGGGTCAAAGGTGAGAAATACTATACATGACAAGTGAAAACACTTCCATGTTCCCAGCATTGTGCATAATTTGGGCATCACACTCAATTAAGATGAAAGAGTGGGGTGGACGGAGTAGGCTTGGAGGGTGGGAGAATGGGCAGGTACAGTAAGGGACCCATCACAGCCACTGATGTTGGAGCTAGGGACCAGGAGGTGTGACCAGCTCAACATTCTAGACCTAAGGGTTGGAAACCAGAATGAAGCCTGGCTGACTCGACCATGAGGCTGAAAAGCTGAGAACATCACACAAGGCAAGTGAAAAAGGGAAGCGCGTCCTCACCTGCCCTCCTATGTTCTTAGGTGGAAACTTACAACAGGGTGGCCACATGGTAGAAATGGCCAGAAGCAGGCCAGGGGCAGTGGCTCACGCCTGTAATCCCAGCACTTTGGGAGGCTGAGGTGGGTGGATCACGAGGTCAGGAGTTCGAGACCAGCTCAAACATGGTGAAACCCCATCTCTACTAAAAATACAAAAATTAGCCAGAGGCAATGGTGCACACCTGTAATCCCAGCTACTCAGGAGGCTGAGGCAGGAAAATCACTTGAACCCGGGAGGTGAAGGTTGCAGTTGAGCCAATATTGCGCCACTGCACTCCAGCCTGGGCAACAGAGCAAGACTCTGTCTCAAAAAAAAAAAAATTATTGGAAAAAAAAAAAGAAACAGCCAGAGGCCCAAGGGAGCTGGGAAAGAGCAGGATGGGGGCTGCTTCCTGGGTGGAGCCCTCGGTTGCACAAATGGGTTCTGAGAAGTGCTTCCTGCCCCTGGGCTTGTGCATGGCATGGCTGTGTGTGGGGACAGGCAGATATTCTCACATGCCAAGGGAAGCTGAGAAGGAAGAGGACTTTGGGTTGCATTAATAGAAATATATGTACCAAAATAGAGCAGATGACCCAAGGTTCTTCTGATCTTTGTGGTGGCTGGACCACAATGTCAGAATTTCAGCTTAGGAGGGCTTGCAACCAAGTGTCCAATTTTCCTAGAACTTATCTTTACCTTTTTTCTTTTTCCCTGTGTGTTCACCTCTTAGCTCTTCAGGAATGCAATTGTAACATTTACCTCCTCTCCACCAGGCACTCCCTGCACTGCAAGCGTATCTAACTATAGTTCGATTTGCTTAGAAATTCTCAGGACAAAATGTTGAACCAAACCAGGCACCCTCCGGGATTCTCCCCCACCAGGAGATTGGCTCGAGACAACAGCTTACAGCTTAGCTCTGTCCACCATGGCGCCCTCCAGACTACCCAATTGAGAAGACACAGAAGCAAGTCAGGTGGACCCCGCACCTCCTCACCCCCTCCCCTGCATGCTTTTCACACCAAGTTCCCTTTTAAAGACTCCACTTTCCTCCCCAAAAGCTGAAGCAATTCCCTTAAGTCAGGAGCCTGTATGTTCCCCCTTAACCAAGCTCTGGGATAAAGTCCCTTTCTTTCTACCAGACCTCTCTCTGTTCATTGGATTCTGCAAGAGGCTGGACATGGGTTCAGTTACGGCCTGACCCAAGAGCCCATCTCCAACCTCCATGCTGCACAGGAAGGGAAGAATGTGACATGGACTCATTCTCAGCCCAGGACCTGGTGACTATTCAGTCTCTGGCCTTGGAGACCCTGTCTGCAGGCACGGACGGTGCCATTAGGCTGGAAAAGGTTGGAACAGAGGGAGCCCAGGGGCTGAGGGAAGAGGGACAAAGTCAGAGGAGGCTTGGAGAGGAGGTCCAGGTGATGGTCGAGGCCTCTGCTTGGTTTCCCCCAGGAATGGTAAGCTCACTCCTTTACAGGCCATTCCCTTTTAAGCTGCTCAGTTCCCTGGAAAACTTTTACAACGCAGAGCCAAACCCTTGCCTGTGGGCCACAGTCTGGACTTCCTGGCCCATGGTGGCCCTTCTGGGATAAGGGTGGCAGCAGCCATGCCCCTCCTCACTCCTTTTTGCTGCTGCAGGCTGATATGTTAAAGAGGTTGTCCATTCTGGGGTGGGGGCAGCCTCACCCGACTTTGGCAGAGGCCTCCCGATGGCTGCCCCTGTGTGGCAGTCTTTGCATTCCCCAGAGCGGTGTCCCTGGAGGGCAAAGCAGCTTTGGTCACTCCCTGGGGATACACCTCCGTTTGGGAATGACAAGCACCAAATTCAGGCTGGTGGACCCAGGAGGGGAGGTGTGCCACTGGGGCATGCTGAGGGTCGCTATGGCATTGACGCGGCTCTATTTCTCATGCCAGTGGTGAAAATGTGGTGTTTGCTTCATTACTTTTTATACCTCATATATATACATATATGTGTATACATATGTATGTGTATATATACACACATATATGTATATATATATACACACATATATACGTATATATACTAGATTCTCTTGCAGAAAATGAAATATTTCAAAATCAATGACTTTTTAAAAAAAACATTCTACTTACAGTTTCTTAGAGGGTAAAATTTTGATGTCTTAGCTGGGCCTCAGGGCCTCTTACCAACAGGACTCTTACCGCTTTCAGTTTTATGGTCTCCACTCCAAAGGAGTCTTTCCAGAAAGCCCCAGTGTGTTCTTCACATTACTGGGAACACCCTCCCCTATCTCCACCTAGAAAACTCCTACACATCCTTCAAGACCTCACTCACTGGGCGCCCCTTCAGCGCAGCTTGTCTGACTCCCACAGGCCTTTGTAACACCCTGTACCACACAGCACCGTAGAGTCCCATGGCAGAGATGTCCACGGCCTCAGTGTCAGACAAGCCCGGGTTCAGGTCCCAGCTCTGCCCCTCACAAGCTGTGTGACCCTGGGCAAGTCATTAACCTCTCTGGGCCTTAGGCACCCACCTAATACCACTGTAGGCCATCCTCACCGCTGCCCAGCAGGGCTATCACTCCTGTGGACACAGCCCAGCCCATCAGCCCACAGTAGCCCCGGGAACGCTTCCACATTGCACAGCCTTCTGGAAGGAATCTTTGGCAAATGTCAACTCTTGTTCTGCTTTCATGGCAAGCACGCCTTGGTCACATGCGGGGCTGTAGCCTGTGAGTGCAGGAAGCTGTTCCTGTGTGGCCATCGACTCCTGCCACGGAGAGCACTCGCCTGCCCTGATGCGGGAGTCACGTGTCCTCCTAGGCACTCTGCAGGTCGCCTTGCCCCTCATTGCCAGTCCCGTAGACCCCGAGGCCCAGGCCCACCAGTGCTCCCCTCACTCAGTGTCAACTCTTGGCCCCTCGCACTAGGCCTTCCAATAAGCCAAAACTGTGGCGCCTTCGCCAGGCCTGGGCTGGGTGCTGGGGGCTCAGAACTGAGTCAGGTGCGGGCCCTGCCCTCGAGGGCTCCAAGCTGGTGGGGGAGCCACACCAGGACCCCAAAACAAGAGCAGCAGACCCACGCTGTGTCAGTGGTGAGTGTCTAGCAGTCTTGGGGCCCTGGCCGGGGTGGAGATTGGGGAAAAAGTGATCGGGAGCAGCCACAGAGCTGGGCCCTGGACAAGGTTTGTTGGGACGACAGGTCACTCTGGGCAGATGGAACAGCCTCAGCCAAGGCCATTCAGAGGATCACAAGGAGCATGGCTGTCGCGGCACAAGATGCTCCCGGCAGGGGTGAGTATGGAGAGGCAGCAGCCACAAGGCCTTCATCTGCCAGAAGGTGTCTGGACCTGATCCCGAGGCTGTGGGGAGTTGACATAGAAGATCATTCCTAATTCTCAAACCGGCAAGATTAGAGCTGCAGGGTCCTGATTATCTCCTCTGCGCCGGGCACTGTGCCAAGCACTTCCCATGCGTGTGTAGCCTCAGTTCTCTCAGCAGCCTCAGGGGTGGGGACCACTAGTCCCTGCAACTTGCTGATGAGGCAACTGAAGCTCAGAGAGACAATGTCACTAGCCCAAAACTGCCTATCTAGCTAGCAGTGGAGCTTGGCCTGTGCTGCTGACCACAGGGCCACACAGCCAGCCCCTCTCGTCCAGGGCAGTGGCCTGGGCAGGCTGGGGAGCAGCAGGCTGCCCTGCTGGCCCTAGTGAGAGAGGAGCTGAGCCTGGAATCGGAAGCAGGGCCCACGGGGTGAGGAGGGTCTGCAGCTGGCAGGCCTGGTGGGCTGGTACCTGCAACCTAAGTGGGAAGGTAACAGAGCACCTGGCAATTTGAATAACAATGAAAGCTTCCAGAATGCAGACCCTCTGTGACAATAACCCTTCCTGCAGACAAAAGCAGAGGAGTCATGAGGCACAACACGCCTCATTCCAGGTGAACTGGAGACAATGTGTTCCCCAGCAGCGGCAGCGGCTTCTGATAGTTGGCGCTGACTGTATGCACGTGGGGTATGGGGCTGGGAGCCTTCACGTATTTTTTTTTTTTTTTTGAGATGGAGTCTCTGTCGCCCAGGCAATGGCACGATCTTGGCTCACTGCAATCTCTGCCACCCGAGTTCAAGCGATTCTCCTGCCTCAGCCTCCCAAGTAGTAGGGATTACAGGCACCCAACACCATGCCCAGCTAGTTTTTTTATTTTTAGTAGAGACAGTTTCACCCTGTTGGTCAGGCTGGTCTCAAACTCCTGACCTCAGGTGATCCACCCGCCTCGGCCTCTCAAAGTGCTGGGATTACAGACATGAGCCACTGTGCCCGGCCACCTTCATAAATTTTTCTAAGGGATTCTCACAGGGACCTGAAAGGAGGAGATGCTATTAATCCTACTTGTAAATGTGTCCCTGCAAACAGTACAGGGACATCAAGGAACCTATTCGGGGCAAGATGGCCATCCCAAGGAACGCTACCTCAATACGGAGAAAGAGACTCTGCTGACACGATAGAGTTGAGGGTTTTGGGAGAGGGAGATGAGGCTGGATTAACTGGCTAGGCCTGCTGCCATCACAGGGTCCTAAGTGAGAAAGGCAGGAGGCTCAGAGTCAGCGGAGGGGATGTGGCCACGGGAGCAGAGGTCGGAGAGATGTCCTTGCATCTGGAAGGGGCCAAAAGCCAAGGAATGTGGGTGCCTCTGGGAACTGGAGCAGGCAAGGAAATGGACTCACCCCCGCAGCCTCCAGCAGGGCCCCGTGCTGCTGATAACTTGACATGAGGTGTTCATGAGTCTCCTTTCCAACTGCTGTCCTCCGGATCTGTACAAGACTAAATCTATGTTGTTTTAAGCTACTGCATTTGTGATAGTTTATTACAGCAGCTACGGGACACTCACATAATACCCAAGAGAGATGTGTGCATTCATTTCACCAGGAGACCTGGATGCGAAGGTTCACAGCAGCTTTACTGATGACGGTTAGAAGGTGGAAACAACAGAAGTTTCCTCAAAAGGTGATGGAGAAACATGGCGTGGTATGTCCACACAATGCAATGGGCACAGATCCAGGCTGATGACTATCACTGGGCACAGATCCAGGCTGGGGCCAAGATGGGAACCTTCATCTTTTGCTTCCTGGCCAGAGTGCTCTGCCCCAGCACCTGCCTTGTCAAAGCCCTGGTGGACCCATGGGATGGCCCAGTTCTTGCACCTTCACTGGGAGGAAAGCAGAGACAATGACTCCATTTTACAGTTGGGTAAAGAGAGGCTCAGGGCCATGCTGCCCAGGGAGGAGCTGAAGAGAGACCCGAGGCCTGCTGGGGACCAGATCTTCTCAATGGTGGTTCCTTTTGGCATCCTCTCTCCAAGCCCAGTGCAGAGCCTGGCACGTGGGAGAGCTTTATGGGAGTTTGCTGAATAAATGACAGAGAGCAGGTGTGGTGTGAGCTCTGGTGGCTGGACTCACCTTCCCATCCCCTGCAGACCTGTCCTCCTGACAGGGTCCAATGTGCACGGGTTTGGGACACAGTTGGGAGTGTCCTGACGGATGTAGTCACTCTCAGGGGATGTCAGTCCACGGACACAGATGCAGCAAGGTCCCTGGAGCCCTGCCGGCCTCCCTGCACACCCTCTGCACTCTGAGGAATGCTCTCTGCCGGGATGGGGCACCTCGGGCATGGCATGGGAGGCCTCTAATGTGGCCCAAGATGTTTAACCAGAGTCCTACAGGCCCCAGCCTGAATTGGGCCCAGCAATTCACAAGCTGTGTGACCTTGGACCAGGTCCCCAACACATACACCAGAGCCCCAGCAATTCACAAGCCGTGTGACCTTGGACGACGTCCCCAACACACACACCAGAGCCCCCAACACACAAACACACACACACCAGAGCCCCCAAAACACACACACCAGACCCCAGCACACACACACCAACTGTTGACTTTTCCCTTCTGCCCTCAGTTCCCCCATCTGTAAAATGTGGCTGCTCACAGCCCCCTACTCTGATTCTACATTGAGGCCTGTGGTATGCAGCCCTAAGACAGCCTCCAAAGAATCCACCTGCAGCTACTCACACCCTCCTTTGGTACCCAAAGGAGAACAAAGGATGGGGACAGAGCCAAGTGGCTCGCTTGTAACAAATGGATAGAATAGAAGTGACAGGCATGGGATGTCCCTTCCAAGGTTAGGCTCCAAAAAAGTGGGTTCCACTGGGCTTTGCACCTTGAACTCTCTCTCCCAGAGCCCTCTTTTTGGGTGGTCAGCTGTCATGCCATGAGCTACCCTGCGGAGAGGCCCACCCAGTGAGCAACTGACAACGCCAACCAACACGTGAACCTACTACCAGCCACCTGAGTGAGCTGGGAAGTGTATCCTCCCCAGCAGTGCCTTGAGAATGACCATAGTCTCAGCCAATGCTTTGACTGCAGCCTCCTGAGAGACCCCAAGCCAGGAGACCCAGCAAAGCCACACCCTGACTTACACCTTTCTGACTCACAGAAAGAGTTAAACGCTTGTTTTAAGCTGCTGACTTGTGGGGTACCTTGTTACACAGCACCAGCTAGCTAATACAAGGCCTCAGGGCAGTGCTAGAGATTCTGGGAGAGGGAGGATCTTGGAGATTGTGCATCTGGACATCCCTCTACTCTACCCTCAGGGAACGAGCCTCTGACCTTGGCCTGCACACCCCAGTGATGGGGAGCTCCCTGCTTACTGAGGCCAGCAAATCTGCTGTGGAGCCAGGCTGCCTGGGAAGGTCTTCCCTCTGCCTCCTGCTTCCTCTTCCTACTGGTGCCAGCATGGCTCTGGGGGTTCCCTAGCACCAGCCCCATCCTTCAGGGATGTGTGGGTTCCGCCAGAGTGAGCTGGCGTCTGGATCAGGCTTCTCTGCATCACACTTTCATCCCCTTTTCTGCTTTTTTCTGCTTCAGGGGAGAGTTGTTGGGAGGCAACTGAGGGCTCTGGCCCAGCCTTGCCATTCAGTGTGCACCTGGCAGAGAGGACCCCAGGATGCACCAATCTTCACTCAGCCTTAGCTCGAAGTCACCATCTCCACCCGCCTCAGTTTACTCATCTGCTACATGGAGATTTCTGTGAGGACATGAGACACTGCATGTAACAACACTTGGCACACAGAAAACACTCAAGAAATGTATGTCTATTGAGTCGGGAGAAAACATTCACAGCGGGGCCGCGGACATGCTTGAGGGAATTTTTACTTTGTCTTTAGCAAAATATCTTGCTGGGCCATCTAGATGGATGCAGATGGGGAGGGGACGAGGCAGTGGGGGTGTGTGTGTGTTTCTTGGGGGGGCTCTGTGTCTGTTGAGGGGCTCTGGTGTGTGTGTTGCGGGCTCTGGTGTGTGTCTTGGGGGCTCTGGTGTGTGTGTTGGCTCTGGTGTGTGTGTTGGAGGGCTCTGGGGTGTGTGTTGGGGGCTCTGGTGTGTGTGTGTTGGGGGCTCTGGTGTGTGTGTGTTGGGGGCTCTGGTGTGTGTTGGGGACTCTGGTGTGTGTGTGTTGGGGGCTCTGGTGTGTGTGTGTGTTGGGGGCTCTGGTGTGTGTGTTGGAGGCTCTGGTGTGTGTGTTGGAGGCTCTGGTGTGTGTGTTGGGGGCTCTGGTGTGTGTGTGTTGGGGGCTCTGGTGTGTGTGTGTTGGAGGCTCTGGTGTGTATGTGTTGGGAGGCTCTGGTGTGTGTGTTGGGGGCTCTGGTGTGTGTGTTGGGGGCTCTGGTGTGTGTGTGTTGGGAGGCTCTGGTGTGTGTGTTGGGGGCTCTGGTGTGTGTGTTGGGGGCTCTGGTGTCTGTGTGTTGGGGGCTCTGGTCTGTGTGTGTTGGGGGCTCTAGAGTGTGTGTGTTGGAGGCTCTGGTGTGTGTGTGGGGGGCTGTGGTATGTGTGTTGGAGGCTCTGATGTGTCAGGGGGGCTCTGTGCGTATTGGGGACTCTGTTGTGTGTGTGTTGGAGGGCTTTGGTATGTGTGTTGGGCCCTGTGTGTATTGCGGGCTCTGGTGTATATGTTGGGGTCTCTGTGTTGGGGGGCTCTGGTGTGTGTGTTGGGGGGCTCTGGTGTATATGTTGGGGGCTCTGTTGGGGGCTCTGGTGTGTGTGTTGGGGGGCTCTGGTGTATATGTTGGGGGCTCTGTGTTGGGGACTGGTGTGTGTTGGGGGCTCTGTGTATTGGGGCTCTGGTGTGTTGGGGGGCTCTGGTGTATATGTTGGGGACTCTGGAGGCTCTGGGGTGTGTGTGTGTGTGTGTTGGAGGCTCCACTGTGTGTTGGCTCTGGTGTGTATGTGTTGGGGGCTGTGTGTGTCTGTGTTGGGGGCTCTGGTGTGTATGTTTTGGGCTCTGTGTGTGTTGGGGGCTGTGGTGTGTGTGTGTGTGTAGGAAACTGTTGTGTCAGGAAGCTCTGGTGTGTGTGTTGGGGGCTCTGTATTGGGGCTCTGGTGTGTGTGTTAGGGGGCTCTGGTGTGTGTGTTGGGGGCTCTGTGTGTATTGGGGGCTCTGGTGTGTATGTTGGGGGCTCGTGTGTGTGTTGGAAGCTCTGGTGTATGTGTTGGGGGCTCTGGTGTGTGTGTTGGGGGCTCTGGTGTGTGTTTTGGGAGGCTCTGGTGTGTGTGTGTGTGTTGGGGGCTCTGGTGTGTAGGTGTTGGAGGGTCTGCTGTGTAGGAGTGTTGGGGGCTCTCCTGTGTGTGTGTGTGTTGGAGGCCTCTGGTGTGTATGTGTTGGAGGCTCTGGTGTGTGTGTGTTGGGGGCACTGGTGTGTGTGTTGGGGGCTCTGGTGTGTGTGTTGGGGGCTCTGGTGTGTGTGTGTGTTGGAGGCTCTGGTGTGTGTGTGTTGGAGGCTCTGGTGTGTATGTGTTGAAGGCTCTGGTGTGTGTGTGTTGGAGGCTCTTGTGTGTGTTCGAGGCTCTGGTGTGTCTGTGTGTTGGAGGCTCTGGTGTGTGTGTTGGGGGGCTCTGGTGTATGTGTTGGGGGCTCTGGTGTGTGTATTGGGGGCTGTGTGTTGGGGGCTGTGTGTGTGTTGGGGCACCAAGGCACATTGTAGGTGCTCTGGGAGAGCCTCTCCCTGGCTGTTTGACTTTGGACACGTGCTTTGGCCTCTCTGAGCCTGAGTTTCCAGCAAAATGGCAAGAAAAACGCCGCTGGCGAGATGGCGGCACGGGGGAAATGGCCGTGCTCTGCAAACTCCCTCGCGCCCCAGTCAGCTCCCCTGGTCTCCAGGAAATACCAAAATAAAGATCCTGCTTGAGGACAATGAGAATTATTTTGTGCTTTATAGGGCGCCGCATAATCTAAATAATGACACACGGAAACTTTGTTTCCTTCAGGAAGAAGCTGGCGGGCAACCCAGCTATAGTAAAAGGCAAGCGGTGGGGTGGAGATGACAAAGCTATTTGGTGCCAGCTATGCCCAGCGGCTTCTGGCAGACAGGACAGTGCCTGCTGTGTTGCTGGAGCCCACGGATTGTACCTGGGATGGGGACGTGGGCATGGGAAGCAAGGGACATCGCAGGAGCGACAGGCGGAGGGCAGGACACGCAGCCCACATCCGAGGCCAGATCCCATGCCCCTCGGCTGCCCTGATCCTCTCGCGGCTTCCAGACCCCATTCGCCCTGGGGTTCCTCCTGCCACGGGTGGGGGCTGCTCCTCCCCAGGCCCATTGCAGTGGTCTCTCGGGGCATCTCAAACTCAAGACACTCCATGCTGCTGAGCCCAAAGCCACATCTGCCCCAAGGTCCCCATCTTGGAAAATCTCCCAGGCTGCTCAGCCCAGGGGCCCAGACATCCTCCTTGGACCCCCACCTCCTTCTCAGCCCCCACCCCAGGCCCTGGCCAATCCCATGGACTCCACTCCCTGGTGCCGGCCCCTCCCCACCACCACCCTCGGCCAAGCCGCAGACATGGCTGCAGCTCGTGAGACAGTGGCAGCCTCTCCGGTGGACTCCCAGCTCCCTTCCCAAAGGCAAGTGCCTCCTGTCACTCTCCTCGAGGGCACCCTTGTCCCTGGACTAAGAAGCCCACATCTCACCATGGCCCTGCACAGTCAGACCTACTTGCATCTGCCACCCGTCCCCTCCTGCACTTCCTCCCCCACACTCATGCCACCTGACTGCCCTTCAGATGGATGGATGTGCGGCTGTCTCTGCCTCAGTGCCTCTGCACATGCTATTTCCAGTGCCTGGACCACTTACTTCCCACTTCCTCCCCTGGTCTCTTCCAACTCCGACAGGCTCATTCCTTTCCATCCTACAGATCCCAGCTGCCCCGAGAGGCAGGGCCAGGCCATGGAAAGCTGTGGATGCCCAGCTGAGGGCCTGTCCTTATCCTGCGGGCCTTCTGGGAGTCTCTGAGGGGCTGGGAGCCTCTGCAGAGACAGGGCCGGAGGCTGCCCTGGCGTTGGGAGTGGGGTCAACAGGGAGCTGTGTCAGTTTTAGAGGCTTCCATTATTCACACCTCACTTGTAGCCTGCCTTCCTGTCGCTTTACCCTCCTGACGTTCAGACACTTCTCGGGGAACTTAGGGACTTTATACATCCCCATGGTAAAGGTTAATTTTTAATACTGCTTTGGTAAATATTTGATGCCACTGCTTTAACGGGAGGATGCATTAGACATTAAATACCACAAAGTGCTCTGAGATGCTGTCCTTTTCATCGGCAGCCTCTGTCCGTAACTCCTGCCTCCCACTCTGCGAAAATAAAGACTCTTTCTCCTTTGCCTCCTGCTATGAATTTTTCAAAGCGTTTTTCAAATCCATTCTTACCCCTGATCAGCATCTCCATTAGCCAGATAGAAAGTCAAAGAGGTTTTAAGCTGAGAGATGGCTTAGAAGCCTCAGTCCCTTCCCTCATCTTACACAAGGGGAAAGTGAGGCCGAGGAGGGACGTGGCCTGCCCGAGGTTAAACAGTGAGTCTGTGGGTGTAGGAGTGGAATGAGGTGCCGGGACTCCCAGCCCAGGACTCTGCTCTAGCACTGGCACCCCCCCCCCAGAAGACTCAGACCAGTCCTGCCCTCACCCAGTCCAGTGGAAACAGGCCACGGGGCTCTCTGACTGTGCTGGAAGTGGGCAGCAGGCAGAGGGGTCTTTTAGAGGATGGGGAGAGGCCTCCGGAAGGAGCATGACCTCAGTGAGGTTTTGAGGAATGAGTAGGAGCTCGCCAAGGGGCCAGAGTGGGGAAACCTGTGAGGTGAATGGGTGTAGGTAAGCACCTCAGGGCAGGGATGGGGACTGATCCACTCTGTATCCCCAGTCCTGGCCTGGGGCCCAGACTTAGCCCATGCTTTTTAATCCTTATGAAATGAATGTGTCCTTTACCTCCAAGGCTGTGTGCACTGTGGCCCTGATCATCGGCTCCTGGTCCCACAGGCCCTGGTGCCCTTGCATCTCCGTGCTTCCTTCAGCCCGGGCTCTGACCTGACCAGCTTCCATGCATTCTGCATTCCTGGCCCGCCCCTGATGCTGGGGCTGCTTCCCCAACGTCCTTTCTACTGCCCAGGACAGTAAACATCCACAATACACACACGTACACCATGCCACACAGACACCCACAATACACATAAACACACACACCATGCCACACAGATCCACACAATATCACACACACACACCACATAGACCCTCACAATATACACACACACACCACAGACACCCACAATACACATACACACACACCCCATGCCACACACCATGCTGCATACCCACAACATACACATAGACACACGTCACACACCATGCTGCAGACCCACAATATACACACACACCATGCAACACAGACACACTACACACACTACACCATGCCAGATACACCATGCACACACACACACCATGCCACAGACTCACACAATATACACACACTATGCCAGACAACACACACACACACATCACATAGACCCACACAATATACATATACACACCATGCCAGACAACACACACACCCCATGCCACACAGACATCACACAATGCACACACCATGCCACACAGACTCCTGCTCACCTGTGACCTGTCCTAGCCCCTCAGGACCCACCTCTGCCCTCTCCACCTCTCCCCTGGTGCTGGCGTCCCATGGTGGTAACAATGCACGACCCTGTGCCCAGCCCCGCCCCTCCAGCACTGTCCTTCCTGGTCAGCAGCAACACCACGTGTCTCTTGGTTCAGACCCTCGAGTTGTCCTCGTCCTCAGTGTGCCCCTCCAACATCCAATTCCTCTGTGGCTCCTGCCTGCACTACCTCCAAAATACTGCCTTGTGTCCCCCCACTGCCTGGGGCACAGTGATGGCCTCCCCCCGGGCCTCCCTGCCTCCATTCCTGCTGGTTGGCTGCTGTGAGCTGTGTGGTAGTGGCCTCTCACCAAAACCCCCACCTGACCAAGTCCCCGTGCTTCGCTGGCTCCATGTTTCCCTTAAACGAACGGAACCACTCTCCCATCTCGACAACCCTGCAGACTGGAGTCCCGAAGCTCCCTCCCTCTTGGATGCTGTCAACGGTGAGATGTCCCAGGGATTGAATCATGGCTTTGGGGAGGACGTCAGCGGCACTCCAGTAAGCGTACACACTGATCGGGGGACACATCTGGGCTTGAGGCCCTGAAGGGTGACAAGGACATGTCCCTTAGAAACAAGTGACAACAGTATTGGTCAGAGTCCAGGCAGGGACACAGCAGCCATGGCTTCATGGAATAGGGCATTTATGATAAGGACTTGAGTTTCCACACTTGTAGGAGGAGCTGGGCAGTGAAGGTCCAGAAGGGACCGTGGAGGCTCAGAGAAGGGACGCTCCGCAGTGCTGGGCAGGGAGAGAGCGGGGCCAGCTCGCATGGAGGCTGAAGCCAGGCCCATCCTGCCTCCAAGAGATCACAGGGAGGGTCACAGGGTCTGCCAGCCTAGGGTAGGTGGTCGGGAAGGAGAGCCAGACACAGATGGAAAACCCAAGGACACTGGGAGCCCTGGGACACCCCTGCAGCTGTGCTTCTCTGGCTCTGCCCAGTGAGACCACCAGCACCAGTGACAGCCGCTTCCGCCTCCCACGTCTCAGACAGCTCAAGCCAGCTCACCGGGAAGCAGATCCTGGGATACAACGAGCCCAGAGCAACCAGGCTGGCAACAGAACCACCTAGCACAGTATCTCCTCCTTCTTGTCTGGCTAGACAAGCTGTGAGTAAGCCCTGAGCAACCTCAAATGAGGGGTAAGTGAAGGAGGCACGCTTGGCAGGGACCTCTTTCCACACACAGAGTGGACAGAGACAAGAAAAGAGGATAGACTTTGGGGGTTCTTCCTATGAGCGGAGTACGGAGCTAGGCCCTCCCCACATCCCCTCTGATTTCATCCCCTTGCCAGGTGGAGCTCATTTGCTCTCTGTGCCTACATCCACATGGCAGCCCAGAGAGGTGATGCAACTTGCCCAAGGACACACAGCTGGGCAGCACGGAGTCCGGTCCAAGCCCAGCCCAGGCGGCCCCAGAGCCCATTGTTCCTGCCTGCCCCCAGCTGCAGCACCCAGCGATTCCTGAAGCCGTAGGTCCCAGCACACAGGGTGTGACAGACTCAATCCCAGAGCTCACGGCTGAAGGGGTCAGGTGACAAGTCCCCCTCTCCCCCAGCACCTCTGGGACCCCTTAGAAGCTACAGGAAGTCCGATCTGGACGGTGCTTAGGAGGAGCAGGGAGCGAGCATCCTCCAGCCCACGGGCAAGCCTCGGTTTCCATCATTGTCACGGGAGCCGAAATGCCCGTGTTGGGAGACGTCTGCAGTTCCAACAAGCATCTATTCTTGGAAGCAGGTATTTTAGCAGTTAAGACCAGGGGTGAAATAGTGGGTGAAATAAAGTAGAATCCATAGTCCTCCCTGACCCAGGACAAAGGAAATAAATTCCTTATCCACTTGCCCCACCCTGCAGTGCCTGATCTGGGAGCTGGGCCCATTAAGGGTCACTGAACTAAATTGGTTTTTGGGAACATTACTGCCACCGGCCCAACCACACTCCTCTCTGTAGGATCTCGCGTCTTCCACATTACTCTTGCTGCAGCTCAGAGGGTGATTAAGTGGAATTCCTGTCAAATCAACATAAAGGAGCAGCCTCTGAGCTGGAGGCGTATTCACGAGCCCCCAGATTCACCTGGGCCTTTGTGGAAGCGTCTTTTTGTTAATTACTCACGCAAGCTGGCATCTTTGTTTGCACAGTAGTTGCTGCGTTAAGGCATTTTAATTAAGATTCCAAACTAAAGATTCCAAACTGGCTGGGTGGAGCCACGCGGGTCTCTTCCGGGGCAGGATTATAGGAGCCACCTCCCAGGAGGGGGCTTGTAAGATGCCCGCTGCAGGCAGCACGTCCCCAGAAACAGGTGTGCCATGTTGCCTGTTAGGAGCTTGGGCTCCTAATGGGAGCTGTTTCCTTTCTCCTGACAGCTGCACCCTGGGCCCAGAGACACAAAATCTCCATCTAAACTCCAAATAGCTGTGTTAGGTCTAGTTCATTCTAGAAGTGCCTCTTCAAAATGACTTTTCCAAAACCTTCCCTAAGGAATATTCACCCTTTGGCTGAAGACATTGATTTTTCCAAGCAAAGCCAGGGCAGGGTCAGAATGGATTTTCTACACATCACTGGACAGAGTTCCTTAAGGGCAGGGGCCTGGCCTTTTTTGTCTTTCTGTTCCCAGAACTTAACACGCGGCATGGCCTACGGCCAGCCTTCAATAAATGCTTGCTGAATAAATGAGTAAATTAATCTTGTCTGGGCTGCATCCATACAATGAACACGGATTGTTCCAGAGAAAGAAAAGCAGGACAGGGCTGGAAGCTTTGCAAAGAGGATGCCTAAGACGTTTCCTTGGGGGGACTAAAGACCCAGATGTGTGGCACGGAGGTCAGATCAGTCTTTCGGCCTCCTCATCTGCTTTCTTTGCCTGGGGAAGGGCCAGGAGCTGCAAAGGGCTGATGAATTGGCCTCCCAGGACCACCTTGCCTCTTGTCCTGGCTATCATCGCCCTGGGTGCCTGTCTGTGGGTGTCCCTGGAAACATTAGGTTGCTGTTTTCCTGTGCACATAAGAAACACATTGGCTGTAATCCCAGAACTCTGGGAGGCCAAGGCAGGCGGATTGCCTGGGCTTAGGAGTTCAGGACCAGCCTGGGCAACGTGGCAAAACTCTGTCTCTACTAAAAATACAGAAAGTTAGCTGGGTGTGGTGACACAGGTCTGTAGTCCCAGCTACTCAGGAGGCTAATTCAAGAGAATTGCTTGAACCCCGGAGGTGGAGGTTGCAGTGAGCTGAGATCGCACCACGGCACTCCAGCCTGGGCAACAGAACAAGACTGTCTCCAAAAAGAAAAAAAAGAAAAGAAAAAAGAAACACATTGGCTTCCCACAGTAGTGTTCACAGACCACTGGAGCAAGTGAGATTATGTGAGGAGATAAATACACTAGCATTTGAACACTTATGCACAGGGGCAAGCTGGTCAACATTTAACAACCTGTTCTCCAGAGGGAGAAAACTCTGATTTGTAGCACGTGCTGTCAATTTCCCGAGCGTAAATACTGGTGCTGTCACTGAATCAAAGACAGGAAGAGATACAAGTAGTCACCACTTAATAAATTTCCACCATACAGACACAACAGATGCAAATAACCTTGCCAGCACAGATGATAGGTAAATGTAGCAAAAGAACTAAGAAGTGATACATTTTGAGTATGTATTACCTCTGTTCAATACAATGTATTTAATTGCATGTTTATATAATTTGCAATAGTGGCTGTGTTTAACAACAGGCTCCCAAAATTCCTACAGCTTGAACTCTCTTGAGTCAGTGTGATGCAGCCCCATCTCATACTGGATATGTTTACTTGTTTTAATGCAAATTAGGAAAAATACAACTCTTAAATCAGCGATGATATTGCTTAGAGCAAATCTGAGTTTTCTACAAATTTGACTTGATTTCAAGTCAGTTAAAAATGTATTAAGTAAACAGAATGAGGGATGTACACAGACAAGAACACCAAGGAACTGAAACGTGGGGGATAAATGTTGCTTCATGAAAATGGCTTCAAACCTCAACTGTCCTGGGGGTGGAGTAAAATAAATGGGCAACTCACGAGAGGAAATACAGTTAACAAATGAAAGTGGTTTATCTCAAAAACCATCAAAGAAATGCAAACAGGCTGGACGCGGTGCCTCACGCCTGTAGTTCTAGCACTTTGGGAGGCCGAGGCAGGTGGATTGCTTGAGGTCAGGAGTTCGGAGACCAGCCTGGCTGACACAGTGAACCTCCCCCACCACCCACCCTGTCTCCACTAAAAATACAAAAATTAGCCAGGCGTGGTGGTGGGCGCCTGTAATGCCAGCTACTCGGGAAGCCAAGAAAGGAGAATCACTTGAACCTGGGAGGCAGAGAGAGGCTGTAGTGAGCCAAGATCACACCACTGCACTCCAGCCTGGGCGACAGAATGAGACTCCATCTCAAGAAATGCAAACTGTATAGAAATGGGGGCACCCCATACTGGAGAGGGTGCCCCGAATCCAGTGCCCTCAAAAGCTGCCTCACTCCACCAGCCCTTTGGGAATGAGGCTGGTGCTGAAATCGAGACCCATAAAACTGTCACCCCCTTGGACTCAGGAATCTCCCTGCCTGGCATCTATCCAGAGGAAATCATTCCAGAAAAGGAAAGGCCACAAACTCACAAAGGTGTCTGCTGTTTTCTGGAGTATGTCTCCTCCTCCTGCCCCCAGGAGAGCTGGGATTGGTGTTGTCATCGTATTACTAAAAAGATTACATGCAGTATAAATGCCCCGCTGTAGGGAAATGACTGCATGAATCCCACACATGGAATCCGGACAACTCGGTGGCCGCTGAAATGGTATTTAGAAAGGTCAGGTAAAATCGCAGGGTCATCGCTGATTCAATAGGAGAATAAAATCAAGGCACATCATTAGAGACGCGCAAAAGCAGGTGTGCATTAGAAGGGAGAAAAACGCAAAGCAGTCGTAGCTGCGTGTGAGTGGGATCCGTAGCGGCTTTTCTTTTCCTATTTTTTACTCTTCAAATAATGGTCGCAACAATCATCACAGTTAGCATTTCCTGAGGCATCTGCCACAGGCCGGGCTCTGTTCCAGTCCTTACAATCATCTCACAACCTAAAGGCTACTTGTGTCCATTGTACTGATGGGAACACTGAGACTCAGGAGAGCTACTGGCTTACCTGCAGTTGCCCACTGGCCCGTAGACAGGATCTGAACTCAGCTCTGATTCGAAGACTACGCAGCTCACCCCTCTGCGGGTTTGCTAGAGTAGAGTACAGCTAGGAGGTGTTCGACGTAAACTCATGAAAACTAAGCGTGGGTGTTGTGTTTTTACCTTCTGTTCCGCCGGGCCCTCCTCTTGTGGGGAGTGGTTTGCAGAGGGAGGTGGGGAGCCACCAGGTGGAAGAGATGAGTACACCTGCCGCCTCTGGAAAGATTCAAGGCTGCGAAAGACCTTCACAAATGGTGCAGGGGAAAAGACAAACCCCGAGAGCAAAACCAACCATGCACCCCAACAAAGACTGGCACCCTCACCTCGTTTAAACCCCTGCCTGGTAGCCCACGAAGGGGCCAATGGCAGATCAGAAGCCAGGCTGAGTTTCAGGAGGCTCCTGGACCCAGACCAGGACTTGTTTCACTGACACCTGCGGGCCAGATCTCAGGTGCTTTCGGGGACCCCCGAGGTTCTGCCCTGGGGATGGGTGAGACCTGCCTTGCACAGAGAACCCACAACCACAGGGCAGCTATGCACCCAGCATAGAGTGGCATCATCTCAGGTTTAGCTCTCACAGGGAGAGAAGTAAAGGCAGAGAAGTTGCTCTTCCCAGTAGAAGGATGTCGGCTTTGGAGTTCACCAGACCTTAGTTCCAATTCCAGCTCAGCTGCTGTGCGTTTCCCAGGAATCTCTCTCCGAGCCTCCTCGGTGTCTCCTTCATAAAATGAGGCTCGGGATGGCCAAGCTGCAGTGCAGCTGGGGAGGCTAAATGGCACAATTTGTTACAGCTGCTTAGCTCAGTGAGCCCTCAACAAATGGGAGCTACTGTTACTAACGGTACTAATGCAGTTCATTGATCGGACACTGTCTAGGTGCCTTCTGTGCACAAGGCACTGGGCAGGAAGATTCATTCATGCAACATGGATGTACTGAGCACCTACTATGTGTCAGGCACTGTTCTATATGCTGGGGTCACAGCTGAGCACAAGAAACACCAATCCCAACTCTCTTGGGGTTTCCATCCAGCAGAGGAGACAGGCACAAAGCCACAAAGCAAACGTTATGTCAGGCGGCGACGCACGTGACAAGGCAGCTGAAGGAGGACAAAGGGAGAGTGACGGGAGTAGGTGGCTGCTTCTATTTTGTAAACCTTGGTCAGAGAAGGCCCCTTTGATCGGGTGACCCTGAGCAGGGGCTGTGGAAGGGAGGCATGAGCCCTGCTGGTATCCCGGAGGGGAGAGGTCTGGTTGGAGGAACAGCAGCGGGGCTGGTGCGGCTGCAGCCAAGTGCCAGTGTCGGGAGATGAGGACAGAGGGACAGTGGGGTGGGGTGGGGTCAGATCATGTTGTTGGCCAAGGAAAGCATTTTGATTCCTAAGTGCAAAGGAGACCATCGGCACGTCTTGACTTAATGTTTTTAAAAGATCGCCCTGCCACTGTCGGGGACACAGGCTGGCATCAGGGAGACATGCGGAGGCGGCTGCCTCCATCCTGGCCAAAGACGACGGACAAGGAGGGCTGGTCTCAGTGGAGGGGTGGGTGCGGATGGATTCTGGCTTCATTTTCAAGGTATTGCTGATGGAACACGTGAAACAGGAAAGAAAGAGAGGAGCCAATGAGATGGTAGGAGGCAGCGGGGACGTGGATGTGCCAGTCTCCCACGTCTATGGGGTATCCAAGAGCTGCTCTTGAGGACTCAGGCTCTGCAATGAACAGCTAGTCTGGATTCAAGGGAGAGAGACCAGGGGAGAAAGACTGGGAGGTGGACAGGATTGGAGCTGTGGGTCTGGGTGGGGGTCCCCAGGGAGTGGGTGGAGATGAGAGAGAAGTTAAAGGGAAGAGCCCTGGTCTCTAAGATCAGGGAGATGAGGATGGAGCCGCAAAGAGGAGCAAGAAGGGCGGCCGTGAGGGGCCAGGAGCCTGTGGGGCAGAGGACCCAGGGCTCCCCAGTTCCCCTCAGCCCCTCCCTCCTCCGAGGCTCTGCCTATGCTGCCCTCTCTGCCGGGATGACCTTTCCCCACTTTGGTGAACTCCTAGCTACTCATCCACTGAAACTCTTTGTGTTGGCTCCTCCTCCCCTGGCTGACCAGTGCTTAGTCCAGTGGACCGTGAATCCTGGGACAGCAGAGCACTGTCTTCAACAGAGCCGTGAACAGCGGGGAAGGCTCACGGACGTGACGCCGGAGAGCATCCTTCAAAACCTACCAAATGCTTCTTGCCACAACTGAGTAATTCTGAAGTCCTATCCGTGGCCTAAATGGCCCCTTATGTTCTGCCCCTGCCAACCTCTTCATTTCCTACACTTCTTCTGCTAATGCACTCTGCCTAACGCTGCCTTTCTTGCTGTTCTCCAAATACACCCAGCGTGTTTTCAACTCATGCCCTTTTTACATTTCACTCCCTCCACCTGAGTGAACCATGAAACTATGTGAGTAAAGAGCATATTCAGGTCTCTGCTTAAATTGCCTCTCGTTAGAGAGATCTCCCTGGATCGCTTCATTTTCTCCCCGACATTTAACACTACTTGAAATTTTATTGTTATTACAAAAGCATTTTATTTTCTTTGTCTCCCCAGGCAGACCGTAAGCTCTGTTCACCAATGTATCACCAGTGGCTAGTACAGTCCCTGGTATATGATACAAACTCAAACCCTATGTGCTAAATAAATGGTAGCAGGAATTAGCATAAAATAAAACTGAAAATGGCTAATGCTACACAAATGGCTAATGCTACACATTATAACTAAAACATGAAGTTTGCTTTAGATGTAAGAACTGACTTGAGAACCTCTTCCTTTTGATTTCAAAGAACACAAAAAAATTTGACCCAGGAAAAATTAGACCTGGTAGAAACAACACCAAGTAACATTGTAGAAGCCTAAAACCACACAGAATAAAATCTGTAACTAATAATGATGGAAGAAGCAAATCTTGACAATAATCAAGATTTGTAATAACTAATCTATGTGAATGAGACCTGGTAGATATAACTATAGAGAGAAAAAAACCACTAGCAGGAGCTGAAATCCACAGACTTTAAGATAAACAAAAACAACCCAAAATTTCTTTGTGAAAGTTAATAATCTTAATAAATTAAAAATCAAAATAGAAGTACTTAGAATTTACTTCTACTTCATATAAAATTAATTTAAAAATTAAGCTTATTTAAGCAATACTTAGAAGTAATTTACTTCTACTTCATATGAAATTAATTTAAAATTAAGCTTATTTAATAGTGTCCACTGGAAAATACTTTCCCAATAAAAGTTATTCAATATTATAATAATTCTGATTCAAATCTGGATTCCCAAACATGCCAGCTAACATTCTGGAGAGGAAAACACCCATCAGAACAAAATGGCATATTCAAAATTAGAGTCAAAAAATATTCACTTCAATTAATACAGAGCATGAGAAAACTAGCTTTTTGGCTGCTAGATCACATTGTTGACAACTGCTATTTCCAAGTTTTGTCTTTTTTCCCCCAATCCCTGCCATGTAGCCATGGCTCCTGTACAGTTGAGTATTTAATCAAACACAGAACTGAAAAAATCATCCCTTTCAGATCTTACATGGTTGGTTGTTGAATACTTCTGTAATCCTAAAACTTGTTTGTCTTTCTCAGCGGCCTTCTAATACTCTCTCATGCTTTGCTGCATTCTGAAGGTGACAAAGGTCTTTATGACCATGTCATCTCAAACTGTGAAATAAACTGGTCACAACTGTGACACTTTTGGCAGGTGGTTTCACACCCCCACACCTTCCTTTTTCCTAACCATCTTCCAGTTTAGAATGAATGTGTGCCACGGTGTGTTCTGGCCATAGAGACATAGTCAGAAATCTGCTAGATGGGGCCTTTGGGGAAGACACTGCTAACCTGACAGAAAAGGACAATCAGCTGACATATCTCCTTGCCTTTTTCCTCCTTAGTCCTTTTCCCTTGTTCCTATCTGGATGGCAGATGAGATATGATGGCAGATGGAGGCATGATGAGAAAAACAACACGGTAAAAGCAACACTCTAAGAATCTTCCATTTTAAGAAATGGAGAAAAGTAGGGTTGCTGATGGCATCACAGAGTTGTCGGCTGCCAACCTCCAGACTCTATGCTACATGAAAACATAAATCTCTATTTCTCTTAGCTACTGTTAGTTAGATTTTCATTGCTTACATCCATAAGCAGTCTTAACGGATAAACTATCAGCTAATCTTCATGCATAGCTACTACATTTTTGTGGTCTCTACCCAAACTTTTCAAGGCTCTGTTGATGAACCCAATTATCAAGTCTGAGGCAGCACTAGATAAATTATCAATTAGAAAAGCACATTTTAAGTCATGCAAAATAAAACAATGCTAATACAACTTTTCTACTTCACCTTTGTTCAATACACATTTTAAGGAGTGAGTCAGAAGAGAAGCAGAATCATTCCACTGGTTTGTTATATTGAACTCATCCCTGGCATTATAGATCTAATAAGTAAGTCTTTAGTGTATATCTCCACCCACATCTTAACCTGTAGGCTTCGAACAGTTGTAAGAAAATGCTTAGCAACATAAATAATGAGACTGTAAAAATGTGAACAGAAAGGAGAGATGATATCAGTGATATCTGTAAGCGCTATGGCAGTGAGGGTGGATAGAATTCAGCTTGTGTGATAGATTAAAGAAAACAGGATGAGAAGGCTAGTTTTCAATAGGAAGAAAAGACATCGCTGGGTTCAACGTGTGACATTGGATGAGTCAGTGTGATATCCACAAAGAAATGTCAGGTTTAAAGGTCAAAAGAGACCTTTCTGAGCCACATTTGCCTCAGTTCACTCCTGCTGTGTTTTGTTTTTCATTGCACTAGTTTCCAGATAGCATTACTGTAGACACACACAAATATAAGAATACATACGCACATATACTTTGATGAGCCTTCTATTTCTCATTCCACATGTCCCCAGCTCTTATTTAAACCTTAATTAAAATCCCTTCTAAAAATCTTATTCACTAACAAAGATGCAGGAAAGTATATGTTTTTATGTACACGTACATAAAGTTTTTATTGCATCTAAGTAACTGTCTCTTATGCGATATTGACAAGACATAAATGCTTTCAATATTAAATCCATGTAAATATCCTGCAAAAATATATTAAAACTAGAAATGAGATTTTCAGTATTCTTTTTGTAGCGATTGGCAGATTTTAATATTCAAGAAAAATTAATTTCATCATACACATTAAAAATATAGGAAATTTCATGCAGACATGAAGCTTCCAATTCAGCTTTTATGGCAACTTTTAGAATGACAGTTACATATAAATACAGTATATTTTACAGTTAACAAACTTCATAATTTTATATTGAGATTCATACAGCTTCTCCTTATATTGTACACATTCCCCACCTTGCTCACTGATTAGCGTACCCTGTATCTGCACTGCTTCAGAATACGGAAATTAAAGAAAAAAACCCACAAGAACAATGGACTATCTCCTCCCATTTCACAAAGTATATGAAAATGTTTGTGTATACAGCTAATTTAAGAAAAACATTTTAAACTTTAAGGCTTACATACTTTAGTAGCTAGGACTAAAATTAATACAAAATTAAAGAAATCCTCCAGGGATACTTCTATTACTGACTGATAACCACATTTTCAAGTTTAGAATGTATTAACTGCAAAAGCTGTAAGAAAAAAAGTGAGGCAAATTTGTATAGAACATTTAAAAAACAATATTCATGATATGAGGGATAAATTAACAAATGAAGTAACCGATTTCAGAATTAACTAAAACATGTGCTACAATTTAGAAATGTAACATTATTAAAGAAAACCTGATAGAAAAAGATTAATTAATAAAGCCAACCCACCAGTGTCAACGTGTTTTTGCCTGTGAGAAAAACAAAGATCATTTCTTTTGATACAAGTTGTAAAAAAGTGAATGTTAGTCAGTGAATAAAAAGCACATCTAAGCCATTCAGAAAACATCATGCATTCCTTTCTGTTCAATTGATTTCTTAAAAATACGTAGTTTGCAAGTTTTTTTCTTTAAAAACAATAATTTGAGTCTTTTCTTCCTTGCCACTAAATTCAAGCATTCATGTAAATAAG
Organism: Homo sapiens; assembly: GCF_000001405.40. Classification (NCBI taxonomy): domain Eukaryota; kingdom Metazoa; phylum Chordata; class Mammalia; order Primates; family Hominidae; genus Homo; species Homo sapiens. Next base: position 32,345,539 of record NC_000022.11, read on the forward strand.
AATTCCCACCAAATGAACATCTGCTAAGTAATGAGGGACATGAAAAAGAGAAATCTTAAAAAAATAAAAACAAACACAAAAACAGGTTACAGACTTCCCAGTTTTGACATGTCAAATTAACTGCATCAAACTCTCTATTGCATAATGAGAGTAAAGGGCACAAAAGTCCCATCACTGTACACAGAAAAGGTCCCCCCAACTAGTAAGATGCCAAATAGGGTAGTGAGTCCCCAGCCTAAGTGACAACAAAGGTCTAAAGATTTACAAGTAAGTTTTCCTGTTAAAACATGACATTTATGCGACCAGCATGTTACTGAGATTAAATCCGTCTAATTTAAATTGCCACAGAGGTTATTTAAAGCAATCACAATCATCTGTGAAAATATTCA